>NT_167249.2:3055668-3094270 GCF_000001405.40 Homo sapiens
GGCCAGGATGGTCTTGATCTCTTGACCTCAGGTGATCCACCCGCCTCAGCCTCCCAAAGTGCTGGGATTACAGGCGTGAACCACTACACCCAGCCATCTATTAATTCTTTAGCAATTACAAAGTAGTAGCATTTAAATCTCTGATTCTTTCTTCATTTATTAGCCAGAAATTTCTGTAAAGAGAAACTTCCTTTTATGTACTATTTGGTTGCCAAGTGATAGAAATCATATAGAAATACAGAAAATTGCTTGATATTTCCCCCACTCTTTTTTTTTTGAGACAGAGTCTTGCTCTGTCACCAGGCTGGAGTGCAGTGGCACAATCTTGGCTCACTGCAACCTCCACCTCCCGGGTTGGGTTTCAAGTGATTCTCCTGCCTCAGCCTCCCGAGTAGCTGGGACTATAGGCGTGTGCCACCATGCCTGGCTAATTTTTGTATTTTTAGTAGAGACAGGGTTTCACCATGATGGCCAGGATGGTCTTGATCTCTTGACCTCGTGATCCACCCGCCTCGGCCTCCCAAAGTGCTGGGATTACAGGTGTGAGCCACCATGCCCAGCCCTTTTTTTTTTCCCCAATATGGAACGCTTCTTGAATTTGTGTCATCCGTGCCCAGTGGCCGTGCTAATCCCTGTAACCTTCGAAATTTCAGTATATGTGCTGCAGAAATGAGCACCCCCCACCTTTATTTACTAGCTATCAATATGGTAAATTAGTTCCCTAACATTCTCCAAGATAGCCATGAGATTTTTTTGTTTTTTGTTTGTTTGTTTGTTTGTTTGTTTGAGATGGAGTCTTGCACTGTTGCCCAGGCAGGAGTGCAGTGGCGCGATCTCGGCTCACTGCAAGCTCTGCCTCCCGGGTTCGCGCCATTCTCCTACCTCAGCCTCCTGAGTGCCTGGGACTACAGGCGCCCGCCACCACGCCTGGCTAATTTTTTGTACTTTTAGTAGAGACAGGGTTTCACCCTCTTAACCAGGATGGTCTCAATCTCCTGACCTCGTGATCCACCCGCCTCAGCCTCCCAAAGTGCTGGGATTACAGGTGTGAGCCACCGCGCCCGGCCCTGATAGCCGATGAGGTTTTTTTGTCATTGTTCTTCTTGTATCATTACAGACTCATGGCCTTTTATAGCTATATTTCTCTTTCTCCCGACTCTGTACAAACTCCTTTGTTTTAGAGTTTGCACAACCCTCTATCAAAGCACCTACCACCTCACTTTTAAATCTTCTGCATGTATTTCTGTCTTCCTTCCTAGACTGTGAGCACATCTGGGACAGGGACCATATCTTTTTTTGTTTATTTGTTTTGTTTTGAGACAGAGTCTCGCTCTGTCGGCCAGGCTGGAGTGCAATGGCGTGATCTGGCTATAACCTCCACCTCCCGGGTTCAAGAGATTCTCCTGCCTCAGCCTCCCAAGTAGCTGGAATTACATGTGCATGCCACCAAGCCCAGTTAATTTTTGTATTTTGAGTAGAGACAGGGTTTCACCATGTTGGTGAGGCTGATCTCGAACTCCTGACCTCAGGTGATCTACCCACCTCAGCCTCCCAAAGTGCTGGGATTACAGGCATGAGCCACTGTGCCTGGCCAGGACCATATCTTAATTGTCTTTGTAGTTTCAGTGTTTGGTACAGTGCCTCTCACTGTTTCTTTTTGCCTTTGAGATCTTCCCTCTTTGTTACTGTGATCTTCCCTACTGGTCTTTGTTCTTCTGAGTCTGTCCCTATCACCACCTCAACCCGAGCTGGATGTGGCCTGTCCTCCTTTTTGTGTTTCTCTCACAGACTGTGTACAGTGCCCTGGGCCTGAGGGATGCCTGCCGCTCCCTGCCGCAGTCCATCCAGCTCTTTCGGGACATTGCCCAAGAGTTCTCTGATGACCTGCACCATATCGCCAGCCTCATTGGGAAAGTAGTGAGTAGAAGGAAAAAGGGAGTGCACCCAGGGAGGTCAGGGAGAGAGAATGCAGTGTGCAAGATGGGGAAACATGGAAGATATTGAGGTCAATTGGATAAAGAATGGGATGGTGGGAGGAGGCAGCAGAACTTCAGGGAAGTATCTGGAGGGTGAGAGTTAAAGGAGGACTGCAGGGAGAATTGGGGCCCAAGGAGAGCTGAGGAACAGGACAGAGGGTGCCAGGTCCTAAGAAACAGTACTTATCTCCTCAGGTGGACTTTGAGGGCAGCCTTGCTGAAAATCGCTTCACAGTCCTCCCCAACATAGATCCTGAAATTGATGAGAGTGAGTGTTGGGTGTGGATGGGCCTGTGAGCCCTGCGCAGTGATGGAGTACCATCCTTGGCAGGTGGTCACCACAGCTGGGGATCTTCATAGCAACCAGGGCAGGAGACTCACTTTTGATAACCACGTGTCTTCCACCCTCGTAGAAAAGCGAAGACTGATGGGACTTCCCAGTTTCCTTACTGAGGTTGCCCGCAAGGAGCTGGAGAATCTGGACTCCCGTATTCCTTCATGCAGTGTCATCTACATCCCTCTGGTGAGGGCAGGAGAGTGGGTGTAGCCTTCAGATGTATTTTGGGGGAGATATTAGGCTTATGAAAGACATACTGGTAGATAAGAAAACTTGTGGGGCAGCCTGAAGAACATGAACACTTTTTTGTGGGGATACAGGGATCTTTTAAGCTCCCTCTAGGGTGGGGAGGTGTCCAGTAAGTCTCCAAGCAGGAGAGTAGAGTATCTCCTCTTTACTCTCCCCAGATTGGCTTCCTTCTTTCTATTCCCCGCCTGCCTTCCATGGTAGAGGCCAGTGACTTTGAGATTAATGGACTGGACTTCATGGTAAGACCCTCAACCTCTGTAAGGTGAGTGATGAGGAAAATGAGTCAGCAGCTGAGGAAGAGCGTTACTCTACAGCAGCACTGCCCAATATGGGATCTCTCCTCTGTAGTTTTACTCTGAGCTTTACCAGCACTGAGACAAAGGAAAGAGAAGTCAGAGTTAGGGGCTGGAGGTGGGGTTAGAAAGATGGGGAAGGAGAGGAGGACCAAGAGATGCAAAGTCCACAGCTTTGAACCCCTGTACCCAGTTTCTCTCAGAGGAGAAGCTGCACTATCGTAGTGCCCGAACCAAGGAGCTGGATGCATTGCTGGGGGACCTGCACTGCGAGATCCGGGGTGAGGAAAAGCCAGAGGTTATATGCATTGTAAGATGTTTAAAAAAAGCAGCAGCCAGGGGAAGGAGGGGAGTGGGCAACTTGGGGATGCTTCCAACAGGCCCCTCCTCTTCCTGCTCTCTGTCTCGCTCACTCTGACTCTATCTTTTCCTCTGAATGTCTTGAGGTCTCAGATTGTATCTGCAACCTGTTTCCAGATCCCCCTAGGGGCCTCTGCCTCTCCTTCACTTTCCCCTGGAACTGACCTCCAGCTCCCTTCCTCACCCACTCCCAGACCAGGAGACGCTGCTGATGTACCAGCTACAGTGCCAGGTGCTGGCACGAGCAGCTGTCTTAACCCGAGTATTGGACCTTGCCTCCCGCCTGGACGTCCTGCTGGCTCTTGCCAGTGCTGCCCGGGACTATGGCTACTCAAGGCCGCGTTACTCCCCACAAGTCCTTGGGGTACGAATCCAGAATGGCAGGTAAGAATAGAGGCGGGTGGAGGAATAGACATGAGGGGCCCAAAGGCTACATCTTCTGGGGGTTCATCTATCTTGATCCACAAGCCATGCGAGGTGCCTCTCCGCCCACTGCAGACATCCTCTGATGGAACTCTGTGCCCGAACCTTTGTGCCCAACTCCACAGAATGTGGTGGGGACAAAGGGAGGGTCAAAGTCATCACTGGACCCAACTCATCAGGGAAGAGCATATACCTCAAACAGGTGAGGAGAAGCCCTGCAGCCTGGGCCTCTGGCGTCTCCTGCATCTACTCCACCCCTACTTGCCAGCCAACTCAGGCTCCTGCAGCTCTTCTCCCATTTTCTGACCCCGCTCTTCATGAAAGGACCATCACCCACATCCCTGTGCTTCCACCTCACATGTTCTTATTCTCCACTGGAGAGCCATGCTCTAATGGAACTTTCCGTGGCCCAAATTCCTTCACCTGCCTCTGAGTAGGTACACACCACTCCCAAGTATGTCTCTGCCCACGTCCCGTGCCTCTTCACTGATTCTAAATTAGCCCACAGGGCTATGGTCAGGATTCGGGGAGGAGAGACAGAGTCAGTGTGTCTGTTACCTATTTCTCCTGTTTCACCCTGTCCATTTCTCTTTGATGTGCCATTCATGCCTTGAGCCTCACTTTCACCTCAGCCCACGGCACCAGGCCCCAGGCCCTGTCTCCTTCCCTATTCAGGTAGGCTTGATCACATTCATGGCCCTGGTAGGCAGCTTTGTGCCAGCAGAGGAGGCCGAAATTGGGGCAGTAGACGCCATCTTCACACGAATTCATAGCTGCGAATCCATCTCCCTTGGCCTCTCCACCTTCATGATCGACCTCAACCAGGTCAAAGGGAACAAAGGGAGGTGGGATTGAGGAAGGGGATAATGGGAAAGGAACCCCTGAAAATGCTCATAACAGGAAAGCATGCCCTCTGCTGCATGCCCTTTATACTAAAAGTGGGGAGCACTAAGGTCAGAGATAAGAAGAATCAATACCATAAACATTTCTTGAACCCTTGTTTCATGTGAGTCACTGTTGGCAAAGAGGATGAACAAAGCGTGCACCTCACCATTCAAGAACTTGCAGTGCAGTAGGGAGGGCATGTATACAGCTTTATTCACAGGCCAACTGTGGTCAGTGCGTTACGGGCTTCCAATACTAACTTTCCCTTGTCCACCTTATACCCAGCAGGTGGCGAAAGCAGTGAACAATGCCACTGCACAGTCGCTGGTCCTTATTGATGAATTTGGAAAGGGAACCAACACGGTGAGGGGAGAAACTGATGAGGGGAGAAACTAAGGAGGGGAAAATGGAGGAGGATGAAGGAGCATGACAGTGAGGCTGGGCCTCTGGAATGGAATAGGGCTGTGTGGGCAGAAAAGAAATAGAACACGAGACAGGGAAAGGCAGTGCAAGTGCAGAGGGGCATATGGGGTCCCCATGGCTCCGAATGCTAACCTCTGCCCTCTTTGCAGGTGGATGGGCTCGCGCTTCTGGCCGCTGTGCTCCGACACTGGCTGGCACGTGGACCCACATGCCCCCACATCTTTGTGGCCACCAACTTTCTGAGCCTTGTTCAGCTACAACTGCTGCCACAAGGGCCCCTGGTGCAGTATTTGGTGAGGAGACCAATCTAGCTCCTCGGGGACCCCCAGGCTGGGCATTTCCCAGAGGTGGGGATTGGCTCCTCTATCAGAACAAGGGCTCCCTCAGCACAGAGACCACATCCCTTCCCTTTTCTCCCTCCCCACAGGATTGGCCAAGGGTTTCAGGACAGGAAGGAGGTGATTGATGATACACTGTCTTTTATTCTCTTTTAAGACCATGGAGACCTGTGAGGATGGCAACGATCTTGTCTTCTTCTATCAGGTTTGCGAAGGTGTTGCGAAGGCCAGCCATGCCTCCCACACAGCTGCCCAGGCTGGGCTTCCTGACAAGCTTGTGGCTCGTGGCAAGGAGGTGATGAGATCCAAATGTGCAACCACCTCCACATCAGAGCTCCCTTTCATTCCTAGTCCTACTGGGCCTGGGTCTAGGTCCACAGGATTTCTGACCCTTATTTCCCCTTCTCTTCCCCACTCCCCTTACTCCTCCCACCTTCTTGCTTGTTCCTAGGTCTCAGACTTGATCCGCAGTGGAAAACCCATCAAGCCTGTCAAGGATTTGCTAAAGAAGAACCAAATGGAAAAGTGCGTATATGGCCCCAGTGTCTTTACCCTCTCTGCATCTTCTCCTGCAACTCTTCTCCCCTTTTCAGGGACTCAGCCTTCCTCCAGCACTTTGCCCTTCAGAAACCCACCATTTCTTTCTGAAATCCCTAAATCTTCAAGATCCCAGGTTTTCTGTGCCACAGCCTCTCCCCTCTGCCCAGGGATTTGGTTGTCCATTCTGCCATAAATCTTGCGATTTTCTCTCTTCTTCAGTTGCCAGACATTAGTGGATAAGTTTATGAAACTGGATTTGGAAGATCCTAACCTGGACTTGAACGTTTTCATGAGCCAGGAAGTGCTGCCTGCTGCCACCAGCATCCTCTGAGAGTCCTTCCAGTGTCCTCCCCAGCCTCCTGAGACTCCGGTGGGCTGCCATGCCCTCTTTGTTTCCTTATCTCCCTCAGACGCAGAGTTTTTAGTTTCTCTAGAAATTTTGTTTCATATTAGGAATAAAGTTTATTTTGAAGAAAGATATTGTTTCTTTAGTCTCAAAACAAGAGACTAGGAAAGATCCAAAACACAGAGCAGGAGTCCACAGGGGAACCTGCCCTGCCTCAGTAAAAATACAGTGTTGTTGCTGTAGGAAGACTCCCGGATTCTACCCCAGGATACTTCATGAGAACGAACCCCTTCAGAGAGGCCCTACAAAACAGATTAGAGGGAAGACAGAGGGGTCCAAGGGAGATGGTCTCTCTTCTCAAGTAGGAACACCCCAGCCTCAGACAGACACAGCAGGAAGGGGCCTGAGAGGCTGACAGAGGCAGGATGGGTGCAAGGCAGGGGTGGAGGGGAGGGACCAGCCCGGGCTGCACCAGTGGGAGTGGCTCCACCCTTCCCACCTCAGAGCCATGGGGAGCCAGGGCTCTGGCGGGGTGCCCTTGGTGCAGGCTCCCTACACAGTCCTGCTGCTGCCGCTGGGGACAAGCCGCCAAGACCCAGGGGCCCAGAGCTTCTTCCTTTGGGTGAGTATCAGCCCAACAAGAGGTCCCAGGGGAACTCTCTCAATAGATCTGCCCTTTATATTTCCATTCAACTTGAGGGCCCACAGTGTTCCCGCCTGCCTCCCCTTGCCCTCCAGGTCCTCAGTGGCCAGTCTGGGTTCACACTCAGTGACCACACAGTGAACCCAACTAGGGGTGGAGAGAAAGGGCCATAACCCAGAGCCCTACTGTGGCGTGAGAGTCAGCCTCTGTGATTGCCTTTCCCAGCTACGCAGGATGCAGGCTCTGGAGAGAGAACAGGATGCCCTGTGGCAGGGTCTGGAGCTGCTACAGCATGGCCAGGCCTGGTTTGAAGACCATCTGAGGGAGGCACAGCGACAGCAGCTGCATCTAGGGGCCCTTGGTGAGGTATGGGGGCTGCCCCTCTGTGTGAATGGGGGGAGGACCAGGGAGGGAGGAACAGGGAATGTGTAGACACAGCCTGAGACCACTCTGGAGAGGGGAGAGTTAATGGTCAGGGATCATGAGTTGGAGGCAGCATCGTAATGACAGGATGCCACCAAGTGTTAAGTTGGTGTTCATTGTTGGGGCTGGAGGAAGCTGGTCTGCATTCCATTCAGAGGGATTTGGATCACTCCATGGAGATGAGGGTGTGGCCTGGATTATTCCAATGGGGCAGGGATGGACAGGGAGGCTCCATGAAGAGTAGTGAAAGGGGGTATTGTGCTATTTGAGGGAGATGGAGGAACTGATGTGCTAAAGAGATGGAGGTGGAGAGTACTGGATTTTCCCACCTGCCTGGGAGGGTACTGGGACGAGGGGATCCAGATGAGAGGGATGGCCTGTGGTGACAGGAATAGAGTGGCAGACGACCTCAGGTTTTCACCATGTTGTCAGCCTCCAACTCCTCCTCTAGAATTTTCTAACAGATTTACACTCAGAGCCTGGTCGCCCCCCGTTAGCCCAGATTCAAAAGGTGAACATCTGTTTGCAGAATCTGATTCATGAGAAGGTGAGTTTATTGTTTTCAGTTTAGACTTTTGGGAAGTTGGACTAGAGAGGGGAGTTGTTGGGGTCAGTGCTGGCTTAACAGAAAACACAGCGAATTTCCCCTCCAGTTCTCCCCAAGTCCACTGAACAAGGCTAGTTCCTGCACCACCCAGGATTCAAAGGAAAGACGAAGGGAGCAGAACTTGTGGCAGCAACAGGTAAACTTCAAGAAGGAGGGCAGGAGCCCCACCCTACAGGGCTGGGAGGAGCCCAGAGGCCCCATCTGTTTCTCCTCCAGGAGTTGTCAAGGCAGCAGAAAGGAGTCACCCAGCCAAAGGAGGAGATGGCTCAGCGGGGCTGCACCAAGGGGCCAAGAGGCCCTACCCGTGTCTAAACCCTCCTCTCACTCCCCTAAGCCTGGTGAAAGAGTCAGAAGCCCCAGGCTCCTTTTTCTGTTTCTTAACTCAACAGCTAAAAAATGGCTCCAGGTAGTGAGTCAATGAAGTTCAGACATGTTGGTGTAAAGTTTCTCCTCTGCTCCTGAAAACTTCATCTTCTTGGTGTCTCATGTCCTCATTCTCCCCTATATGACATGCAAAAACGATCTTTCTTTGAAATCCCTCTGGGAAGAAGCATGTTTATTGAAACTGTCCTTCAGCCTTAAATACAAAAATAAAACTGAAACTGCTCCAGAAAGCAGCTTTCTCCAAAAATGTCTTTGGTTTGTTTCTCATAGGGTTAGGAAAAGTGCATTGTGGGAATATCCATTGCCCTCTATCCCAGTCTTGCAGGGTGTTTTGTTTTGTTTTGTTTCTGAGATAGGGTCTCACTGTCGCTCAGGCTGTAGTGCAGTGGTTCGACCACAACTCACTGCAGCCTCAACCTCCTGGGCTCAAGTGATCCTCCTGCCTCAGCCTCCCAGAGTGCTGGGATTACAGGCGTGAGCCACTGCACCCAGCCCCAGTCTCGAAGTTTCTAAGAAAGGAAAGGGATGTGATGGAGAAAGAAAACCTTCATTGGCTGGGCACGGTGGCTCACGCCTGTAATCCCAGCACTTTGGGAGGCCGAGGCAGGCAGATCACCTGAGGTCAGGAGTTTGAGACCAGCCTGGCCAACATAGTGAAACCCTGTCTCTACTAAAAATACAAAAAATTAGCCGGGCGTGGTGGCGGGCACCTGTGATCCCAGCTACTTGGGAGGCTGAGGCAGGAGAATCGCTTGAACCTAGGAGGCAGAGGTTGCAGCGAGCCGAGATTGCGCCGCTGCACTCCAGCCTGGGCAATGAGCAAAACTACATCTCAAAAAAAAAACAACAACAACAAAAAAGAGAAAACCTTCATCCCAGCTAGGAGAGGTAAGGTCCTAAGACCTATGTGACAAATGTGTCCCAGGTCTTCTTACCAATGGGGCAGGTTGAAAATAGTGCTGGAGACCCATCCCTTTAGAGCCCGTTGTGTCACCAGGAGGCCAGGCCTAGCAGAAGCAGCACCCCTCCAACTGTGCCCCACCAGGGGCTGCCCGCAGCCAGCCCTGCCCCAGCCCTGCCTTGAGTCACCAATGTGAAGGGGGAAAAGGCAGGGGTGGCCGTGGTGAGGATCGGGTCAGATGAGCCGGTAGGGGTGGTGTGCCGGTCCTGTGGGGAAAAGGAAGAGAATGACAGGGTGTGCTAGAGCTGTACTCAAATTAAACCTACACCACCCTCCCCGGCCTTGCCCACCCTGTGATGGAAAGTAGTGGTTCCTCACCTGCGGGGCTGGGGCCGATACCAGGAGCCGGAGGAAAGCATGAGTCGGGGGTACTGGGTTGGCTTCTCGTCCCCCTGCAGTCACAGTCACCATCACCACGGAATCCGGGGCCGCTGAATCTGGGACCTCCAGCCACAGGCGGCCCCAGGCCGACTCATTCAGTTCCAGGTGAGCCCTGGAGAGAGGATATAGGCGTCGCTAAAGCTCCAGGCTGCCCAGAGCCTAGAGTCGGGACGCCTGCAGGGGCACGGGAGCGGAGAGGAGGATTCTGAGGGCCAGTCGGAGGGGGACAGGGGCAGGGCTTGGGATAAGCATTGGCCGGGCAAGATGCCAGAGGGAGCTGGAGGGTTCATGAGCCTCACCTGGAGAGGTTGGAGGTGAGGGAGAAGCTGGGGTTGACGAAAGTCCTAAGGTCAAGATCCTGAGGGCCCGAGAAGCTGGCGATGCGGAGACTGAGCGGGACTTTGCTGCCCGGGGCCAAGAAACCCGAGGGGCCACTAAGCTGCAGAGAAGGGTTCTTCAGGGAAGGGGCCGCTCTAACTCTCTCCAGCCCCAGCCGCACTTTCCCCTGGCGTCTCACCTCCAGAAGGACAGGGACTACAGTGCTAGGCTGAGGGGCAGCCCTGTGCAGGCGCCGCCCCGCTGCGTCCTGGCCAATCAGCTCCAGGGAGAAGGGTCTAGGGGTGGACAGCAGCGTGGGCGACAGCGAGGCTGCGAGGAGACCTCGCTCCGGAGGTCCCACGGGCTCCAAGGGCACCTGGCCTAGTTCGGCACCCTCTGGGACCCCTCGAAGGATGACGTGGGAGAAATGCGGCTGAGGATCCCCAGGATTGGCTCTGGAACCCAACCCTGTCACTTCTACCAGCAGCTGGGTCTGAAGACCTGGGACAGGGGCGAGGAGGGGAGAACATTGTGAGATTCGGAGACACAGGGAGAAAAGAATTAATGGCCTTCAAAATAGGGGTTCCCTCTGGGGAGTATGGATGGGAAAATAGGTTACCTTCGAGGGGTATTGATGGGGAGCATCAGGAGGGAGTTCTGGGGTGCTGGAAATGTTCTATATCCTGAACTGGGTGTATTATATGAAATCCATCAAACTGTACACTTTAGTGCACATTATGTAAATTATAACTCAATATAAAAGTTATGCATATGCACAGATGTATGTATACATATATACATTATATATATAATATATATATTATATATTATATATTTTATATATATATATAAAACTGGGGGTTAGGTGGGTGGGGGCTCAGGGAATAAATGTACCTGCAACTGGCTGAGTCAGGGGGTAGAGGCCAGGGTGGGGTCCATCCTCCATGGGGATCCCAAAGTGGAAGAGGAAGTCCAGGGAGGTCTGGGCTGGGAAAGGGCAAAGGCAGTCAGAGCCCTTCCTGAAAGGAATGTGACTGATCGTGTTCTCTGAGGCCTGCAGTCTCTGCTTCCCCTTCCCAGGAACACCTCCCTCCTTACCTTGCACTCTCACCCCAGGGGTGTCCTCAGCTGTGACCTGGATCTCCCAGGTTCCTGTCTGTGGAGGGTCATCCATGGTCACCATCCAGAACTGCCCAAAGCGGCGAGTGTGACCTAGAGGACCCCCGCCTTCCTCCTGGCCCTGGGAGACCCCTGGGGTCAGGGAAGAGATTGTCACATGAAGCACTTGCTCTCCTTGAGTACATCCCCTCGATTGTCTATTCCCCGGTCCCCTCTCTTCCCTCTACCTTCAGAGGTACCTGCAGGGTTCTTGATCCAGAAGCTGCTGATGTCTCCGTGGATCCGGACTGTGATCTTCTGGAGCAGCCCATCCACGCTGAACACAAGTGGCTGCCCAGGCACCACAACAGGAGGGTCCAGGGGAAGAGTCACCTTGAGGGATTGGCAGGACCAGAAAATGGGGAAGAAGATGAGGTATGGGATGAGGAACAAAGAAGAAAGGGGAGATAGAAAGAAACCACGTCATTGGGCCGGGCGCAGTTGGTCACGCCTGTAATCCCAGCACTTTGGGAGGCTGAGGCGGGTGGATCACAAGGTCAAGAGTTCGAGACCAGCCTGGCCAACACAGTGAAACTACATCTCTACTAAAAAAAAAAAAATACAAAAAATTAGCCAGGTGTGGTGGTGGGCTCCTGTAATCCCAGCTACTTGGGAGGCTGGAGCAGGAGAATCGCTTGAACCCAACAGGCAGAGGCTGCAGTGAGCCAAGATTGTACCATTGCACTCCAGCCTGGGCGACAGTGCAAGACTCTGTCTCAAAAAAAAAAAAAAAAAAAAAAGAAAGAAAAAGAAAAAAGAAAGAAACCACGTCAAACAGGCAGAAAGGGATACCAGTAAGAGAGGGGCACGGGGCCAGGGATGAAGTTATTATGGTCAGAGACAAAGTTGGAGGCAAGGGATTCAGGATGAGACAATCACATCTTGTGCCCCATTAAAAGATGATAGGCCAGGCGTGGTGGCTCATGTCTGTAATCCCAGCACCTGGGAGACCAAGGCAGGAGGATCACTTGAGGCCAGGGGTTCAAGAACAGCTTAGTCAATATAGCAAGACTCTGTCTCTGCAAAATACAAGCCACCTCCCCAAAAAGATGGTAGGACTTCCTGTGGTAACCCTGGAGGCAGAATACTGGAAGCCAAGTGGGGAGAGGTTTACTGATATAAAAGGACAATGCAGGCCAGGCGTGGTGGCTCGCGCCTGTAATCCCAGCACTGTGGGAGGCCAAGGTAGGCGGATCACTTGCGGTCAGGAGTACGAAACCAGCCTGGCCAAAAAAACGGTGAAACCCCGGCTCTACTAAAAAAATACAAAAATTAGCCAGGCCTGGTGGTGGGCACTGGTAACTCTAGCGACTTGGGAGGCTGAGGCAGGAGAATCCCTTGAACCCGGGAGGTGGAGGTTGCAATGAGCCGAGATTGTGCCACTGCACTCCAACCTGGGTGACCATAAGACTCCATCTCAAAAAAAAAAAAAGAAGTGGCTAGTCATGGATCTAAGAGGAAGAGAAACTTCCTTTCCTGCCCCGTGACTGGAAGAACAACACAGCAGTGAGAGTGATTCCCCTTTCTCCTATAAGAAGAGAGGTGCAGCCTGACCACCCTTCAGTTCCTAAGTGAGGGCCCTGGCCCCCACTTACCAGGGCAGCCATGCTCTCCCCAACAATGGCTGCCACGTCTCGAATGTGCTGGTCTTTGGTGAAGATCACCTCTCCTCCTGAGGCCAGGGCCACTGCTTTGTATGGCTCAAAACGCAGAGGGGACAAGATCTCACGCCGAGCTCGACCCTGAACCCTTGATGTATCTTCAGTCACCAGGAATGTTACCTGTACCCAGAAGAGAGCTCAGTGATTGGGGTGTCCAAGTGCCATCCACTATTATGAATGAGAATCCCTGTGCTCAAGCTTTCTCCAGAGCTGATGGTTTGTGATAAGGTCTCTGCCTGCCTTCTGGCTGCTGGGGTGGGGAATCCCAATGACAGAACCCCCTGCCTTCAGTTAGTAGTTGGCCACCCCCTTGTAACTGTCACAGTGGATTTTTGGCGACTAGAGCCCCAGTTCTTCACATTGTTTATTAGGCAGGGTCAAATAAAAATTCAGCGTTATTAAGGGTAGGGCCTCTTACGTATATCATTAAAGGTATCAGGAAATGTTCCACTCATTGTCTGCTTCTCCCACCATATACCAAGGCTTGTTGGGCCACCATAGTGTGGTGCAACCCTCGTTATGAGATTGTCATCACAGGGTCTCTCACATCCCTGGGAGGCTAACACTGGGTCTCCCACTAGCTCTGCTCACCCGGCAGCGCCGCTCCTGAGTCAGGGATTCCACCTGGTTGGTGAGAAAGGCATCCTTGGGGGAGGCATCCGTGAAGACAAAGATATCTGAGAGTGGAGGTGTGTGCAGCAGGGCCAGCTGGCAGGGAAGGCAACGACCAGTGTTAACAATGGCAGTAGGAGGGGAATGGGTAGAGCCACGGAGGATGAAGCAGAAGGGAATATGGCCCGGGAACCCTACAGTGAAGCTAGTGGATCTAGGTGCTGAAGGTGGTGGGGAGCCCCAGGAGGGATCTAGCTCCCCCTGGTGGTGGGGCCAGGAAACGGGGAAGAAGGGAGGGGCCAGACCTGCAGGGCTGACAGGCACATCTCAGGCTCGTCTCCACCCCCCAAGGCATGGATCTCATTAAGCTGTTGCCAGAAGCTGTCAGGGTCACTGGTTGTAAAGACAGGGCCGAACCCTGGGAAGGGGAAAGGAGGTTAAGATAAGTGAGGAAAGAGCTCCCCTCATTCTTACCCAGAGCCACCTCCCCAGTTGAGGGGCCTGGTGTGCTTCTGGAGCCGACAGGTATTGAAATAACAATACTCCATTATAAGACTCATACTTGGCCGGGTGCGGTGGCTCACACCTGTAATCCCAGCATTTTGGGAGGCCAAGGTGGGTGGATCATGAGGTCAAGAGATCAAAACCATCCTGGCCAACATGGTGAAACCTCGTCTCTACTAAAAAATATAAAAATTAGCTGGGCATGGTGATGCATGCCCGTAGCCTCCCCAGTAGCCTCCCCAGAGGCTCCCCAGTAGCCTCCCCAGCTACTGGGGAGGCTGAGGCAGGAGAATCACTTGAACCCGGGAGGCAGAGGTTGCAGTGAGCCGAGATCGTGCCGCTGCACTCCAGTCTGGCGACAGACTCCATCTCAAAAAAAAAAAAAAAAAAGTCATACTTGTCAGTGCAGGGCGGGGCAGGGCGGGGCAGGGCAGGGCAGACCTAGGTGTCCCTGGTGGGAAGGTGGCCTCCACTCCCTGAAAAAAATGGTGGCATTTCCTGTAGGCCTTTATTGGCTACATGTGCGTATATAAAAAAAAAATGGTCACACCTATTATCCCAGCACTTTGAGAGGCTGAAGTGGGAGGATCACTTGAGCCCAGGAGCTCGAGATCAGCCTGGGTAACATAGTGAGACCCCATCTCTACAAAAAAATACAAAAATTAGCCAGATATGGTGGTGCTCATCTGTAGTCCCAGCTACTCAGGAGGCTGTGGCAGGAGGATTGCTTGAATCGAGGCTGCAGTGAGGCATGATTGTACCATTGCACTCCAACCTGGGTGACAGAGTGAGACTCTCCCTCTCTCTCTCTCAAAAAAAAAAAAAAAAGAAAGAAAAGAAAAAAAAAAACTGGGTTTCCTCATAAGAAAAGAGACCGAATAGCACTTACCTCAGAGGTTTATTGGGAGGACTAAATGAGTTGATTTTGCAAATCTTAAGATAGTGCTTTGACACATAAGTGCTAAGTTCTTAGTTATACCTTTATTTATATCTTCATCAAACATAATAAGTCTATTAAATGCCAGCCACTGTAGGATGTATGCAGGCAAATAAGACTCAAATTTAGGCAACTCTCAGTCCAGTAGGCATTTTATTTGATCATCATTTCAACTCTGGGAGTTAGGCAGGATGAGGGAGGTGTCAGGCCTCTGAGCCCAAGCTAACCAATCATATCCCCTGTGACTGGCACTTATACATCCAGATGGCCTGAAGCAACTGAAGATCCACAAAAGAAGTGAAAATAGCCTTAACTGATGACATTCCAACATCCTGCCCCACCCTGATGTGATAACTGATACCCATTTTACAGATGATGAAATCGAGGCAAAGAAAGTTTACATGACCAGCCTAAAGACACACAGTCAGACTCAAGCCAGAGAGTCTAACTTCTAATCAATGGAAAAGGAATACAATGTAGCTAGTTATCTCAGATGCTTCCCAGAAGCCTGGCCCCAACAACCCCATCTTGATACCAATCTCTGTCTATAGGAAATGGAGAGAATTGAAAATGGCGGCCGGGCACGGTGGCTCACACCTGTAATCCCAGCACTTTGGGAGGCCGAGGCGGGCGGATCACGAGGTCAGGAGATGGAGACCATCCTGGTTAACACGGTGAAACTCCGTCTCTACTAAAAATACAAAAATTAGCCGGGCGTGGTGGCGGGCGCCTGTAGTCCCAGCTACTCAGGAGGCTGAGACAGGAGAATGGCGTGAACCCGGGAGACGGAGCTTGTAGTGAGCCGAGATCGCGCCATGGCACTCCAGCCTGGGCGACAGAGCGAGACTCCGTCTCAAAAAAAAAAAAAAAAAAAAAAAAAAGAAAATGGTTTATTAGCATGAAAGCCTAAGAAAGCAGAGGCCACGTGCCAAAGCATGAATCATGCATTAAACTCATGGAAAGTGCTGCCATTTTAGAAAGAGTGGGAGGCAAGTCTGCTAGTTATCTTTTTTTTTTTTTTTAGAGACAGGGTCTCACTGCGTCACCCAGGCCGCTCTGGAGTGCAGTAGTGCCATCACGGCTCACTGCAACCTCAGTCTCCTGGGCTCAAGTGATCCTCCTGCCTCAGCTTCCCAAGTAGCTGGGACTATAGGCATGTGCCACCACACCCACACATAATTTTTATTAATTTTTTTGTAGAGACCTGTGTTTCTCTGTGTTGCCCAGGTTGGTCTTGAAATCCTGGGCTCAAACGATCCACCCACCTCTGCCTCCCAAAGTGCTGGGATTACAGGTGTGAGCCACCCCACCCAGGTTGCTGCTAATTTTCTGTATGCACACAGTAGAGGCTCACTCGGGACTACAGGAAGTGCCACCCCGAGCCCACTTCCTCACCACAGGCCTTTATCCCTTACCTTTTTATCTTTTCTTTTTTTTTTCTTTCTTTTCTTTTTTTTTTTTTTTTTTTTTTTTTTTGTGACAGAGCTTTTTGCTCTTGTTGCCCAGGCTGGAGTGCAAAGGCACGATCTCGGGGCTCACCGCAACCTCTGCCTCCTGGGTTCAAGCGATTCTCCTGCCTCAGCCTCCCGAGTAGCTGGGATTATAGGTGCCCACCACCACGCCCGGCTAATTTTGTATTTTTAGTAGAGACGGGGTTTCTCCATATTAGTCAGGCTGGTCTCAAACTCCCGACCTCAGGTGATCCACCTGCCTCAGCCTCCCAAAGTGCTGGGATTACAGGCGTGAGCCACCACGCCCAGTCTATCCCTTACCTTGAATTTTCCTCCCCTCTACTGTCCTAGCCAGACCACACTTACCTGGGTCATGAAAAGGCACCAGGACATAGTGGACAGGCTCCATGGGGCTGCCTCTCCGCTGCTCCACAAGGTGGCGAGCCTGGATTTTGGCAGCGTTGATCTCCTCACCCATGCTGCCCGTGGTGTCCAGGACAAAGCTCAGGCTGGAGGCTGGGGTGATGTCCAGCAGCCTGGGGAGCAAGCCAGAGACACAGTGAAGGGCCTGCACGTTTGTCCCCAGCGCCTGGTTTCTCCCTTCCCGCAGGAGCGCCTCCCCATGAAGGGGTCCATCCCCAGGAGGCCACTCACCTGGAGAAATCCCTGTCTCCCAGGCGGCTTCGCAGAAGGCTGAAGGCCTGGATGGAGGCTAGAAGGGCCAGTTTTGCAGCCTGGAGGTGCAGCATGTGGTGAGGGGAGAAGCCTGGGGATGTGCTGTCCTTGTTGATGCCTCCCCTCGGTGGCTGGGAGCTGCTCCGGTCAAAATGGCCCCCGTGGCTACATTTCCCTGGGTTGGGGAAAGGGATCTGGAGAGTGGAGGTCAAAAACCCACTGCCTCCTAAGAAAATGAGGCCCTTTCAGGCCTGGCCTGACCCTCTCACCCCTCAGCAAGGGTTCAGCAAGAAATGATGACGGGGTTGGCGCGGTGGCTCACGCCTGGAATCCCAGCGCTTTGGGAGGCCGAGGCCGGCAGATCATCTGAGATCAGGAGTTCAAGACCAGCCTGGCCAACATGGTGAAGCTCTGTTTCTACTAAAACTATAAAAATTAGCCAGGTGTGGTGGCGCGTGCTTGTAATCCCAGCTACTTAGGAGGCTGAGGAAGGAAAATAGCTTGATCCCAAGAGGCGGAGGTTGCAGTGAACCGAGATCACGCCACTGCACTCCAGCCTGGGTGGCAGAGCAAGACTCGGTCTCAAAAAATAAATAAATAAATAAATGATGGCTGGGCATGGTGGCTCACACCAGTAATCCCAGCATTTTGGGAGGCTGAGGTGGGTGGATCACCTGAAGTCAGGAGTTTGAGACAAGCCTGGCCAACATGATGAAACCCTGTCTCTACTAAAAGTACAAAATTAGCCGGGCGTGGTGGCACATGCCCGTAATCCCAGCTACTCGGGAGGCTGAGGCAGGAGAATCGCTTGAACCTGGGAGGCGGAGGTTGCAGTGAGCCGAGATCGTGCCACTGTACTCCAGCCTGGGCAAAAAGAACAAAACTCCATCTCAAAAAAAAAAAAAAAAAAAAAGGATAAAAAGGATGGTGCTTTGTGGAGGGGAATTCTGGAGTAAATCTTAGGGCGTGGTGGTCAGTCACCACAGCACATGGTGGATCCCCTGATCCCTCCAGCCAGTCCCCCAAAACTGCCTATGACAAGGGAGAAATCCTATCAGCGGAGGAAGAAGTTGCTCCCCTACCTCAACCCCACCACAGCCTCCTCAGGGGACTTTCCTCCACCCACCCTGTTCCCAGCATCCTCTCCTCCTAGGAGGAGATGCCATAGCAAAGGCATACGGGCCTACAGGACAGAGATCCTGTAAGGGAATGACTTTCTCCCCTTACTTCTGGGGAACTTTCTTGTCTGGTACCTGGAGGTTTCGGGGGATGAGTTCCAAAGTAGCCAGAGGTGAGGAGTGTGAAGCCCAGCCAATTCCTGGGGCAGCTCAACTCCTCGCAATCGGAGCAGGTAGGATCGGCCACTGGGAAGAGAGGGCAGGGCTAGAACCCAAGATTCTGCCACCCCCAGCCTTTATCCCCACCCACCCAAACCTTTTCAGCTTCTCCTCCCAGCTGGGATGAGGCGAACACCCAGAAGTTCCCTAGCAAAGCTTTCTGAACTAAAACCTAGGATCATGGGCCCGCAGTGAGCCTGAATGTTTGAAACTAGGGCTGTGCTGGAAAACACAGCACAGGCTGGGTGCGGTGGCTCACGACTGTAATCCCAGCACTTTAGGAGGCTAAGGCGGGCAGAGCAGCCTGCGCCACACAGTGAGACCTCATCTCTAAAAAATAAATACATAAATAAATAATAAGAAAAAAACAAACACAGTACGTGTAGGGACCAATCCTATGGGGATTATGCCCTCTGTGAGTTGTGGACAGGAGGCAGCTTCCAGGTGAGAGGGTGAGGGGGCTGTGAGAGAAGGCCCCATGGGAGTCAGTGCGGGGAGGAAGCCACACTTAAGACGGGACTGAGGTCTGGAGACCTGGTCCTAGCTACTTTTCCCTGTGTGACCTTGGGGAAGCTGCTTAACTGAGCCAGGCGTTGCTTGGACTGGGGGACCTCAGTCCTTGTGGAGATTAAGTAACATCATACCCTCTGGGACTTCAGAATGTGACACAGTGGCTGGGTGGACTGAGGTGGCCCTGTGGACTCCTGCCTCACCACCAGGGTCACAGCCATACCTTGTGCCAGGTTCTGGAGCTCCTGCCTTGGCCAGAGGAGGTGAGGGTGTGGCTGCTGCTCGCCCAGCTCCACCCAGTTGCTATGACTGTAGAAATCCTGGTCCGGAGGACAGGAGAAGGGGAGTGAGGCACTAGTCTGGCCTTTCTCACCATCTCCAGCACTAATATGCCACTCCTTTGAGTTCCCCATCCCGAAAGTCCCCTCCCACCCCTACTGCTCCCACCAGACACCCCAAGTCCCCTCCACTGCCCTCTCTCCATTGCTCAGAGCAGAGCTTTGCCCAGGTGGAAACTGTCCCAGCATCTCTTCCCAGCTCAGAGTCTAACCCAAGGCCTCTCTCGGCCTGCAGAGTCCTGCTGCGTGTGCTGCTCCCTCAGCTCTCTGACCTCGCAGCCTTCCTCTCTCACCCTCACTTCTCTCCAGCCACAGCGCCCTCCTTGCTGTTCCTACAGGAAGCACTGCCAGCTTGGAGGTGGGGAACTGGGACACAGCCTCGGGGCACCGCGTGCCAGTGCCCACCCCTTCCAGAGTGGAGGAGACATGATCAAGAAGGCACCATAGGACGCGCTCCATCCCGGACAGGCACGGAAGTGAAGACCCCTCTGACCATCAACCCAACCCTGTTCTCACCTGCAGGGCATGAAGTGCAGCCCCGAGGCGCTGGCGAGCCAGGGTGTGGTCAAGGGCCCTGGCTGCCACCACGGTCTCCCGCAGAGCCCCTACCAGGCGCGCGCGTCCCTGACCCAGTCGCTCAGCATCAAAGTGCAGGTCGGGGTCATTCCTGGAAGTTGGCAGGAAGTCCTGGGCTGCATTGGCACGAGACACCTCACCTAAGGCTGCTCGGAACCGCCGAGAAGAACCAGGTCCAAAGTAGGCGGCAAAGAGGTCATCAGCAAGGAGTGTTCGACCCTGGGGAGAATAGCGGGCGACGGGGCTCCAGGGAGGCCCTTTGGATTGACTGTTGCCCACCTTATCTCAGCAACTGACACTCAAGGCTGGGTATGAGGGTCCTGAGCCCCACAAAGGAGGGACAGTCCCGGACCTTTCTAAGGAGGGGGACTCCTAATTTCAGGACCAAGACTACTGGGTATTATTGCTGCAGGGGTGGGGCCATGGGTGTCTCTTCTCTTGGCAACCAGAGCCCTCAAGGAGTAGAGGCCCCATGGAATTGGGGACTCTGGCAGGGGTGTGACAGGACCCTGGGATGCTCACCAGGAAGTCCTCAAGACGAAGAGGGGGGCGGCCTGGGGGTGGCTGCTCCAGGAAGAGCTGCAGGGTGACGTTGAGCGCTGCCTCCTCAGTTAGGTCTTGGTGGGTGATGGAGCCAGGGGCAGCCAGCAGGCTCCAGATGTTGGGGAAGAAGGCAGATGTGGGGGGCAGCAACAGCTGCAGCAGAAGCAACGCTGAGGGGCCCGGGTGGGATTGGGGGACCTCCGTGGGGAGCATGGCTGAGACATGGACCTGGGAGACAGAAGGCTCTCAAGGGAGGAGGAAGCAGCCGCGATTCCAGGGCAGGCCGGCTCTGCGGGTCTCCATGGGAACCTGCTTTACCTCAAAAGTCGTGTCTGCTCCAGCCTGGCTTCCCCACCCTCTCGCTGTCACCCAGACAACCTGAGGGCCTCATCGGACCATTAGGGACATACACACCTGCCAGGAGAGGGGTCCAAGGTTCCTCCCCCACGCCCCCCTCCCCAGTCCCTGGCTGCGTCCCCAGCCCTGCCGCAGAAACACTCCCCATGCTCAGGAAGCCTGAGTCCTCTCAGGCCCTCCCCTACCTGGTTGCTGGGTCTCCTGGGCAGGGCTGGCCCGGGCTTGACGTCACAGGGCACTTAGGTCAGAGTTATAATTAACCGAGGCTCAGCAGAGGGGGAGGAAGGCCTCAACAGGGTGGGGGAGGACAGGCAACCCCTGGCCCTTTCGCTCCTGCCTGCCCAAAGCCACAGGCAGCAGCCCACGCCAGGGCGGGCCTCCCTTGGCTGCAGTGCGGAGGTGAGTGAGAGCTGGGGAGGAGGAAGGGAGTAAGCAGCGTGACTCAGGCCTGGCACAGTGCCAGGGACAGACCCAGATAGACGCACCCCTCTGCCCTCCAGAACCAGGGCCTCACTCCCACCCTGCAGCCCCCAAGGATTCAGGCACCCAGCCCCTCTGCTCCCCTCTCTGCCCCCACCACAGATGACAAGAGGATTTTGTGGGAAAATATTTTATTGCTGCCATCCCCATGGTGAGCCGCTGGGGGTGAGGGGTGAAGCTGGGTGGTGGATCACAGCATCTTCTGGAATAGGGCGATGGCCTCATCCACCTTCCTGAGCTCTGCTTCTGTCTGTTGGAGCTGGAGTGGAACCAGGGGGTGGGTGAGGACCCAGGTCCAAGTGAAGAGACCCCCAAACACCCAGGACAACAAAGTTGGAAAGATGAGCGAGGACCATGGGAGGTCAGTAGCTCAGAGGAGGCGTGAACCTGGCTGGCCTGGCTCCCCACCCATTCCCACCAGCACCCCCACTTCCACCACCACCTCTTGGGTCTTGCCTTTTTCCACCAAGTGGTGAGTCCCCAAGAACAAAGGAACCTCAGAGCCTACGTGTTCCCCATTCAGTGTCCCCACCTAAGCAGGAGAGCACAGTCTCCCAGGCCGGTCACTTCATTTGTCAGATGATGATGATGATATTGCCCCCCTCCCAGGGCTCTTGGGAGAACCAAGTGAGATTAACCACGTCCACTCAAGGCTCTCTAGCTCTTGGCCTCCATGACTGGTTTTCTCTGTGTCTGTGCAGTTTACTCCACTGCTTCTCTCTGGCGGAACCCAGGAGGCAGGGGACAAACAAGACTGGCCTTCCAGGGTCAGCCCAGTAGGCTTGAAAGTAAGTGGTGGGAGGCCCAGGGCTCCCCGACTACATGTGGACCCCAAGCCCAGCCCCAGGCATGCAGGTTTCCACATTTTGGGCAGCTGGGTGGGGTACGAAGGGTCTGGCTGGGAGATAGGATGCCTGGTTCTAGGTCAGCCTCCGTCTCCCACCTGTTGTGTGACCCTGGGTTGTGCCCAGCCCCCAGCTGCTCCCCATGTGTAAGGGGAGGGCCTTCTATGGTCCCTGCTCAAAGCGCCTGGGCTCCATGCTCCCCAGTGGATTCCCCAGGGTTGGGTACAGAGTCCAGCTTCCAGACCAGGATTGGTTTTTGTTTTGTTTTGTTTTTTTTCCAGACAGGGTCTTCTCTCTGTTGCCCAGGCTCAAGTGCAGTGGCATGATCTCGGCTCACTGCAGTCTTGACCTCCCAGGCTCAAGCAATCCGCCCACCTCAGCCCCCCGAGTAGCTGGGACCCCAAGTGTGTGCCACTATGGCCAGCTAATTTTTGTATTTTTGTTGTAGAGATGGGATTTCACCATGTTGGCTGGTCTCAAACCCCTGGGCTCAAGTGATCCACCCACCTTGGCCTCCCAAATTTCTGGGATTACAGGTGTGAGCCACTGAGCCAGGCTGTTTTGTTTTTTAAGGCTAGTGGGAGTGGAGAAGGAACAAAGAAATCTGTAACTGGTTACGATCAATTAGTTGTCAACACCACTGCACTCGGACCAGCCCAGACCAGGGTTTTGATGGAGGAAGGGGATGGTGTGGGAAATGCCCACCCAGGCCACACACCTTGGCTTCATCTGCCTCCTGGACTTCGAGCGGCACCTTGACAGGATAGCCCGAGGCAGCACGGCGTTCCCGCAGACGCTGGGCCTGCCGCTGGGCCTCAACTCGCTTGGCTTGCAGCTTGCCCAGCTCCCGTGCAGGGTCCACCAGCCCCTGAAGCTGCAGGTGGATGGAGCAGCGATCAGAAGCCAGAGCCACAGCGCAACCCTGGGGGGCGGGAGCCCCCAGGGCCAGAACAGCCACCACACCTGCGCTGGCCAGGGCCTGCACGTAGCCCGACACCGCCGATGCCAGGGCGCCCGTGGCCTCATCCGCCACTTCCAGGAAACCTGCCAGGGAGGGAGAAAGGTGAGGCCTAGCTCCATGGAGACAGGAAACCAAGCAGTCACTGCCGGACACTGGGTCCCAGAGTAGGCTGAGGGGACAGTGGGATGGGGCGGACATGGGGGCCTGAGGCTCACAGTCAGGCCGGATCCGGGTGAGGTTGTAGTCGGCCCGCAGGGAGCGCACGGCTCGCGTGATGCTTAGCGCCAGCTCAAGGGCGGCTTCTGCCTCGGGGTCCTTCCAGGAGCACTGTGGGGTGGAGGAGGGGGTGAGGGGGCCTGGAGGGCAGGTCAGACTCCCCTCTCCAGGCCATGCCATACCTCTGAGGGCTCCGGGTAGGGGGTAACACAGAGGCTAGGGGGAGCTTGCGGCATCCTCCGGGGCAGCCTCTGGAACAGCTCCTCCGTCACGAAGGGCATGAAGGGTGAGAGCAGCCGCAGGCCAACGTCCAGGCAAGTGTACAGGGTCTGGCGGGCACACTCAGCTGCCACCTGGTCCACCCCATTCAGTACAGGTTTCAGGCACTCCTAGGGGACGAGAGGTACAGGGCTCACGGCTGGAGGTCTAGCCTTGAGCCCTCGCTGTGCCTGTGAGGACTGGGAAGGGGATGGGTTGGCTTAGGTCTCAAGGCCAACTCTGGCAAAACTGAGCCCAGGGCTCTGCTGCCCACCTGCCCCCACCATCCCCTGCCCCGCTGTGCTCCTTCTCACCAAGTAGACATCACAGAGCTCATAGAGCCAGAAGCTGTACTGGGCAGTGGTGACGGCCGGGAAGTCGTAGGCCTGGAAGCCTTGATTGCTGAGCCTCACAGCCTCTGTCAGGCGGCTGCGGATCCAGCGGTCCACCAGGCTCTCATGGCCTCCGGGCTTGGGGAGAGAGGGTGTATCAGCCGGCGGGCCAGGGGAGGGTGCCAGAACCCCATGGGGGCAGGAGTCATGGGCAAATCTTCATCCAGAGTCTGATGAGTCCAAAGCAACCACCTATGTGCCAGGATCTGGGAAGAAGTGACAGGCCCCAGCCCCCAATGCGCTGGGCTTTCCCTTTAACTGTCTGTCTCTGTGTCTATCTGTCCCCCCAGCTACATGGAGGCTGCTCCGGACAGGGGTACAGCCTGTGTGAGTGCTGCCAGCTTTGCTGCCCACCAGGCCCTTACCTGGGAGGTGGGTGAGGGCACAAAACCCTTCCCAAGGCCACGAAGGGCAAACTTGGTGGCATTCCAGAGCTTGTTGCAGAAGTGGCGGTAACCCAGTATCCGGTTCACATCCAGGTTGATGTCACGACCTGGGTCGGGGGTGAGATGTGAGTCCTCATCACCCTCTTCCCAGCCCATGCCCACCAGAGGCTCAGGGTGGAGAAGAGGGATGGGCCTCACAGAAGGAGGAAGGAGTGGCTGGGAGGGACGCTTTGGGGGCCATACCCTGGGACATGTAGGCACATAATCCAAACCGGAGAGCATCGGTGCCACATTCAGGAATCCCCGCTGGGAAGTCAGCTTTCTACAGGGAAGAGGCAGGGGGAGGAGCGTCCTCAGCCAGCCCCATCCACGCTGTGCTCCTGCTTAGCCCAGCCCAACCCTCCATACCTGCCCTTCTTTGGCCTTCTCCACCTCGCTGGGATCCAGGTTGCTGTTCAGCAGCTGGTTGTGGAGGCCCTGAGGGTGGAGTGGGAGCAGTCAGGTGGCTGTGACCACAGCCCCACGGCCCTTCCTGGCTGGCCCAGCACCCAGCCCACCTGCAGGGAGATTCCATAGATGACGTCCAGGGGATCGATGACATTGCCTAGAGACTTGCTCATCTTCCGGCCGTGAGCATCTCGCACGATGGCATGGAGGTAGACCTGCAGAGCAGGTGGGGAGGCCCATGAGACTCAGTCCTCTCCTTCCCCGGCCTCAGTGCCCCGACCAGGACTGTGTCTGGTCTACCCCACTGTGAACCTCAGGTCCCACTGAGTGTCCCCAAGAGCTCGTTGAGCGCCTTTATGTGAATCAGAAGCACTCCTTCCTCTGGGAAGATGAAGCCCTGGGCACAGGAATCACTGAGCAGGGCCCAGGCTGGATTTCAACCCCACACCAGCCCCCGGGTCAGGCCTGCCCACAGCTAACCCCATGCCCCAGCCACGCGGGGTCTGCGCTGCAGCACAGGACGGTAGGAGAGGAGGCTGGGGGCGATGGGAGGGTCTCGGCTGTCTCCGCACCTCTCTAAAGGGCAGCCTGCCCGTGAGCTTCAGGCCCAGCATGACCATCCGGGCCACCCAGAAGAAGAGGATGTCATGACCGGTCTCCAGCAGTGTCCCGGGGTAGAACACACTCAGGTCTTCTGACTGAGGGCAGACCAGGGTGTGAAGGGGAGCCAACACCCACCCTCCAGTCCCCTGTCCCGCCAAGCCCCGGCCCCAGGAACACACCTGGTTGGGCCAGCCCAAAATGGATAAGGGGAAGAGGCCAGAGGAGAACCAGGTATCCAATACATCCTCATCTGAGAGAGGCCAAAGGTCAGAGGTCAGAGGGAGTGGAGCTCTGCCCCCCACAACTCCCTCCAGACCCTCAAAGCCCCGCCTTGCCTTGCTGGAGACTGATCTTGTCAGGGGACACTCCGAACTCCTTGGCTGCCTTCTCCCGGGCCTCCGCCTCATTGCGTCCACTCACCCAGTACCGCCCATCAGGGTCCTGCCACAGGTGCAGTGATTACCCAAGGGGGTGTGTCTGCTTCTGGCTCACCCTGCCCCTCCCCCCACCAAGGACCCAGTAAACCCACCACTCCAGCAGGGTGTCCCAGCAGCTAGCTCTGGCCCTCTGCTCACCTCCCCAGGGGGCACCGCTGGGTCACTGACAGTGACAAAGTAGGCTGGGATGCGATGGCCCCACCACAGCTGCCTGGAAATGCACCACTCCCTGCAAATGTCGGGGAGGAGAAATCAGGGAGGGCCTGATGGAGCCTGGCCCGAGTGAGCCCTGCTCAGCCCTCGGCAAGCCCCTCCCACACTGAGGACCCTACACACCGGATGTTGTCCATCCAGGCATGCCATGTGCGCTGATGGGCCTCAGGCAGGATGCGGAGGTCACCCCGAGTCACAGCGGCGCTGGCAGCCTGGGCCATCTCCCCGCAGCGAACGTACCACTGCGGCCGCAGCAGAGGCTCTACCACGTCCTTCGACCGGCTGGGGGTACACGTAGGTGAGAAGGCCAGGCGGTAAAACCCTGAGGAGCCCTCCATCTTCCTCCCGTCCCAGGCCCCCACCCTCACTTGCAAAGTGGCACCACCATGGGGTTGTCCTCAATGCCACGGAACAGTCCCCGCTCCTTCAGCGCCACCAGCACCGCTTTCCTGGCCTCAAACCTGGGCAGGCCCTGGGTAGGAATGAGGCCTCATCATGGCGATGCCCAGCCATCCCTCCATCTCCCTGACCCGGGCACTCTTGCCTCAGGCAGCCTCACCAGGAAAGGCGGAGGCACATTGATGAGGGCCCCCCGGGAGTCCATGATGCTGATGGCCTCCAGCCCGTGCCGCTGCCCAACTTCATAGTCATTTTGGTCATGTGCGGGGGTGATCTTCACAGCACCTGGGTGTACATCAGGATGCCCAGGTCATGAGGGACTCCACGGAGTTCCTTCCTACACTCACCTCTTTTGCTGAAGGATGTAGCTCCGAGACCACTCCTGGCCCCCACTTGTCTAATACAGTCCCTTGAGAACCACCCCAAGCTCTGTCTATTTGGCTGAAGCTTATTTTCTTTTTCTCTGAGAGAAGATGGACAGCTAGGGTGCAGCTCCAGTCTTTTCCTCTCCCCACAGGACCAGCCCCTTGCCCACCTGTGCCAAAGTCCATGTCCACAAATTCATCGAAGACAATGGGAAGGCTCCGAGACAGGAATGGGTGGATCACGTTCTTCCCCTTCAGGTGCTGGGGGCGGAAAGATACCAAAAACGCATGAAGCAGGGCCAGACGCCGTGATTCCCACCTGTAATCCCAGAACTTTGGGAGGCTGAGGTGGGCAGATCACTTGAGGCCGGGAGTTGGAGACCAGCCTGGCCAACATGGGGAAACCTAGTCTCTACTAAAAATACAAAAAAAAAATTAGCCAGGTGTGGTGACGCGTGCCTGTAATCTCAGCTACTCAAGAGGCTGAGGCACAAGTACTGCTTGAACCCGGGAGGTGGAGGTTGCAGTGAGCCAAGATGGTGCCACTGCACTCTAGCCTGGGCGATAGAGTGAGACCCTCTCTCAAAAATAAATAAATAAATAAAAGCATGAAGGGGCCTGGTGCCATGGCTCACATCTCTAACCCCCACACTTTGGGAGGCTGGGGCAGGAGGCTTCCTTGAGGCCAGGAGTTCAAGATCAGCATGGTTAACAGAGTGAGACCTTGTCTCTATTTAACTTTTTTTTTTTTTTTTGAGACGGAGTCTCGCTCTGTCACCAAGGCTGGAGTGCAGCAGAGTGATCTCAGCTCACTGCAACCTCCGCATCCCAGGTTCAAGCGATTCTCCTGCCTCAGCCTCCTGAGTAGCTGAGATTACAGGCACCCGCCACTACAACTGGCTAATTTTTTGTATTTTTAGTAGAGATGGGGTTTCACTATGTTGGCCAGGCTAGTCTCGAACTCGTGACCTTATGATTCACCTGCCTCAGCCTCCCAAAGCGCTGGGATTACAGGCATGAGCCACCGTGCCTGGCTATTTAACTTTTTAAAAATGCACGAAGGGCTGGGCCCAAGTCCTTCCTTTCCAGGGCCCTGACTATCCCAACACTTGAACTCCCCCAAACAGTCCCCAATAGCTCTACCCTCAGAGCTGGGAAAGAAGCTGAAGACCAGTTTCTAACCCAGTTTCCTCTCCTCAGCCAGGGGCCTAAGTCCAACCCCTCCACCCCATAAGGATGGGAGCCCTTTTTGGCCAGAACTCCTTCCCTAACTGTGGACAGTCCCCCACCTGGTATCTGGTATCTTTGGGGTGCACAGCTACAGCCACATCTCCCAGCATTGTCTCGATCCGAGTTGTTGCCACCACCACCTCCTCGTCGCTATCTGGGGTGACAGAAGGCCTTGTGGTCTTGGCCTTGGCCCCTTCCTGCCACTCCCAGCCCAGGATCCTGGTGCCCCTGGCTCCTACCTGAGCCTTGGACCTTATAGGCAAAGGACACGAGGACCCCGAACTCCACCTTCTCCTTGTAGCCAGGCACGGAGAGCAGGGTGCGACCTGTCAGCTCCTTCTTATCCACCTGTAAAATGGGTATTTAGAGGCGTGGCCCAGGGGCCAGGGCCAGGGCCAGGGTAGATTGGAGATGGAGACAGGCCAGGTTGGGGGGCGCACCTCAATGTCAGAGATGGCGGAGTTGAGGGTGCAGGACCAGTTAACAAGGCGGGTACTGCGATAGATGATGCCTTCCTCGTGAAGCCGGACAAAGGCCTCTGTCACAGCTGCTGAGAGTTTCTGGGGTGGAGGAGGGAGAAGTCAGAGAGATGGGCCTTGTGCCTGGAGGCCCAGGCAGACACCCAGGGCTCCAGTGAGGCCTTGCCCATACAGAGTCCCACTGGCCAGCACAAAGACCCCTCTGAGGGGAGTACTTTCCTTCTTTCCTTGAGGGGGAGAGAGGACTAAGGGAACACAAGAGCAGGCAACAAGCCTTGTAATGCTGCAGATGGCGAGGAAGACAATCAGCTGGGGACAAGTACTGGTGCAGAGGACACTGGGAGTTCAGGCTCCATGGGAGACGGGGTCCTGATCATGTGCCATCTGGAGGAATCTGGAGCTCCCAGAGCCAAGACAGGGAACATGAAGGGCCATGATATGGAAAGGGCCATGGCGAGGGGTGGGAAGTGGCATTTGCAGCTGAGCCCTCCATGGTGTTTTACATGGGCCAGCTCCTGAGAGAGGGCCACAACACCTCTGCTTTCTCCTGTGGGGGTCCCACCCTGGGGAGACTCCTACTCCTGCCCCAGCTTTGACACTCCTCCCACGCACAGGGTCCATGGTGAAACAGGCTCGATCCCAGTCCAAGGAGCTGCCAAGCTTCTTCAACTGGTGGTAAATCCGGTCACCTTTCCTGGAAGCAGACAGGCTGAGGTCAGCACTCGTGCCTGGGCTAGAGGGAGACATCAGGTGGCTGACTGGGCAGTGTGGAGATCACCCATCCCCCTGAAATTTACCTGGGCCCTAGAGCCAACTGACTCTGCCTCTGTGGGAGGGTCTGACCCTGTGGCCAAGGGGTTACAGGTGACAGAGGTCTTCTGGATAGGGGACAGGGAGGCAGGGCTGCGATGCCCACAGGGATGCTGCATACTCACTCCTCCTTCCACTTCCAGACTTCCTGTAGAAAGGCCTCGCGGCCCAGCTGGTGCCGGCTCAGTCCCTGCTCACGCCATAGCTTCTTCTCCACCACCACCTGGGTGGCAATACCTGCATGGTCACAGCCAGGGTTCCACAGGGTGGTCTCCCCACGCATGCGGTGCCTGTTAGGGGGCATGGAGGACCAGAGGGTGAGCCAGGCCAGTGGGGCCTGGCACCAAAGAAAGCAGAGGCTTCAGGCAAGGAGTCAGTGGACTAAATAAAGAAGCAGGGAGGCCGGACGCGGTGGCTCACGCCTGTAATCCCAGAACTTTGGGAGGCTGAGGTGGGTGGATCACCTCAGGTGGGGGAGTTCGAGATGAGCCTGGCCAACATGGTAAAACCCCGTCTCTACTAAAAATACAAAATTAGCTGGGCATGGTGGCATGCGCCTGTAATCCCAGCACTTTGGGAAGCCGAGGTGGGTGGATCACCTGAGGTGGGGACTTCAAGATAAGCCTGGCCAATATGGTAAAACCCTGTCTGTATTAAAAATACAAAATTAGCTGGGCGTGGTGGCATGTGCCTGTAATCCCAGCTACTTGGAAGGCTGAGGCAGGAGAATTGCTTGAACCCGGGAAGCAGAGGTTGCAGCAAGCTGGGATCATGCCATTGCACTCCAGCCTGGGTGACAGAGTGAGACTCCGTCTCCAAAAAACAAACAAAAAAAAAAAGAAAGAAGCAGGGGTGGAGCTGGAACCCTTGTGATTCTAAAGCTAGTCAAGGAGAAAAGATTTGAAGGAAGAGCCAAGGCAATATGGAAAAAGAACAAAGACAGGCATGCGTGGTGGCTCACACCTGTAACCCCAGGACTTTGGGAGGCCAAGGCGAGTGGATCACTTGAGGACAGGAGTTCGAGACCAGCCTGACCAACATGGCAAGACCCTGTCTCTACCAAAAATATAAAAATTAGCCAGGATGGTGGTGCATACCTGTAATCCCAGCTACTTGGGAGGCTGAAGCACGAGAATCGCTTGAAGCTGGGAGGGGGAGGTTGCAGTGAGTTGAAATTGTGCCACTGCACTCCAGCCCGGATGACAGAGTGAGACTCTGTCTCAAAAAAAAAAAAAAAAAAAAAAAAAAAGAACGAAGAGGAGGCTCCTGCCAAACAGGATAGCAAAAGTTCTAATTGTTAAAATAAGTTACTAAACAGGAACAAAATAGTACCTGGAAACAGATACAAGCAAATTTAGTGTTTGTGAAAGTTGGCACTTCCTATCAGTAAAATAAGGATAAACTATTCAAAATGTTTGAAACAACTAGCTAATTATTTGGAAAAAATCTCCCCCTTACCAATAGTCACAAAAAGAAACTTTAGATAGATTAAAGAATTCAAGCCAGGCACAGTGGCTCAAGCCTATAACCCCAACACTTTGGGAGGCCAAGGTGAGAGGACTGCTTGAGCCCAGGAGTTGCAGACTAGCCTGGGCAACATAGTGAGACCTAGTCTCTGCAAAAAAAAAAAAAAAAAAGCCAGGCATGGTGGCGTGCACCTTTGTTCCCAGCTACTTGGGTGGCTGAGGTTGAGGCTGCACCAAGCTATGATTGTGCTGTGATCATGCCGATGCACTCCAATCTGGCCAACACAGTGAGAGAGACTCTGTCTCAAAAATAAATAAATAAACAAATAAATAAAAATAAAAAGTTGATATAACTCTATTCCATTAAAGTAATGGGAGTGTCTCACATTTTATTTAAACCACGTTCACTGGAAAAAAAATGTGGCTACCTTAAGAGTTTTATAAGAAGTATGTGGCCAGGCACAGTGGCTCACACCTGTAATCCCAGCACTTTGGGAGGCCGAGGCAGGCGGCTTACTTCAGGTTAGGAGTTCAAGACCAGCTTGGCCAACATGGCAAAACTCTGTCTACTAAAAATGCAAAAGAATTAGCTGGGCGTGGTGGTGCGTGCCTGTAGTCCCAGCTACTCAGGAGACTGAGACACAAGAATCGCTTGAACCCAAGTGGTTGAGGTTGCAGTGAGACGAGATCGCGTCACTGCACTCCAGCCTGGGCGACAGAGCGAGACTCTGTCTCAATTAAAAAAAAAAAAGTAGTCATTCTGTTTTCATGTAAACAAACTTGGAGGCCAGGTATGGTGGTTCATGCCTGTAGTCCCAGCACTTTGGGAGACTGAGGCAGGAGGATTGCTTGAGCCCAGAAGTTCAAGACCAGCCTGGGCAACATAGCGAGACCCTCTCTTGATTTTATTAAAAAATTGAAAAACAGGGCCGGGCGTGGTGGCTCACGCCTATAATCCCAGCACTTTGGGACGCCGAGGTACGCGAATCACGAGGTCAGGAGATCGAGACCATCTTGGCTAACACGGTGAAACCCCGTCTCTACTAAAAATACAAAAAAAATTAGCCAGGCGTGGTGGTGGGCTCCTATAGTCCCAGCTACTCAGGAGGCTGAGGCAGGAGAATGGTGTGAACCTGGGAGGAGGAGCTTGCAGTGAGCAGAGACTGCGCCACTGCACTCCAGCCTGGGTGACAGAGCAAGACCCCATTTCCAAAGAAAAAAAAAAAATTGAAAAATTGAAAAAACAAAAACGCAAACACAAACGCAAACAACTTGGCCATTGTATGTTATGTGTATTTAACAGAACTGTTGGCTGGACGAAGTGGCTCATGCCTGTCATCCTAGCACTTTGGGAGACCGAAGCGGGAGGATCACAAGGTCAGGAGCTCGAAACAAGCCTGACCAACATGGTGAAACCCCGTCTCTACTAAAAATACAAAAATTAGCCAGGTGTGGTGGCATGCGCCTGTAATCCCAGCTACTCAGAAGGCTGAGGCAGGAGAATCGCTTGAGCTCAGGAGGCAGAGGTTGCAGTAAGCGCGCATCACTGCACTCCAGCCTGGGAAACCGAGAGAGACTCTGTCTCAAAAAAACAAAAAAAACAAAAAAAAAAACAGGCCAGGCGCGGTGGGTCACGCCTGTAATCCCAGCACTTTGGGAGGCCGAGGTGAGCAGATCATGAGGTCAAGAGATCGAGACCATCCTGGCCGACAGGGTGAAACCCTGTCTCTACTAAAAAAAATACAAAAAATTAGCCAGGCGTGGTGGCGGGCGCCTGTAGTCCCAGCTACTCAGGAGGCTGAGGCAGGAGTATGCTGTGAACCTGGGAAGCAGAGCTTGCAGTGAGCCAAGATTGCGCCACCGCACTCCAGCCTGGGCGACAGAGAGAGACTCTGTCTCAAAATAATAATAATAATAATAAAAATAAAAAAATAAAACATATAACTGTTTTCCTAGCTCTCAGTTACTTGCAAAATGCACAATCAAACATTATATTCCCAGTGCTCAGAGCAGAGGTGGCACATAGTTGGGCCCAGTAAATATTTTTTGACCACATTAATTTAGTACATAAGACACCAGAAAAAATTCTCAAAATTTAAATATAATAAACCCTGGTTTCCAAAAATGGTAAAGTTATTTTAAAATACTTTTTAAAAAGATTTGTCACCTAGAATATTACTTTGTATTTATCACTAATTAAAATATTAACAGTGAAAACAAATAGTAACAGAAAACAGGAGAAACATTTACAATTAACAGGAAAACTACCACACAATAATACAACAAAAACATTTACAATATTTAACAAAAAAATTGATACCCAGAACAGGTAAAGAATTCTCAAAAAAAAAATTAAAAAGAAAAAGAACGAAGAATCAATAGAAAAACGGGGAAAAGATAGATACAGACAATTCACATATGGGTAAACCTGACTGGCCAAAAAACATGAAAATAGGCACAACTTCAATAGCAATCAGAAAGGTACAAAGTAAAACAACAGAGGTATTTTTTTGCCCATCAGATTGGCAAAACTAATTAGGCAACCCTAATGCTCAGGCTTAGCAAGGGTGGGGAAATGAACACTCTCACAGCAATTCCTGGAGGTATCAATCAGCAAAGCCATTCTGCAGGGCAACTTGGCAGCTTCCGTTTGTACTTAATATAGGTGTGCCCCTGCCGACCTAGCAGTTTCACTTCTTGATAGCTACACCAGCGAAACCCTTCCACACATGCTTCAGCAAGCATATAGAGCAGGGGTATCCAATCTTTTGGCTTCCCTGGGCCACATGGAAGAATTGTCTTGGGCCACAGATAAAATACACTAACACTGGCTGGGAGCAGTGGCTCACGCCTGTAATCCCAGCACTTTGGGAGTCCGAGGCGGGCGGATCACGAGGTCAGGAGATCGAGACCATCCTGGCTAACATGGTGAAACCCCGTCTCTACTAAAAATACAAAAAAAAAATTAGCCAGGCGTGGTGGTGGGCACCTGTAGTCCTAGCTACTTGGGAGGCTGAGGCAGGAGAATGGCGTTAACGTGGGAGGCGGAGTTTGGAGCTTGCAGTGAGCCGAGACTGTGCCACTGCACTCCAGCCTGGGTGACAGTGCAAGACCCGTCTCAAAAAATAAATAAATAAATAAATAATAAAAATAAATTTAAAAAAATACACTAACACTAACGATAGCTGATGAGCTAAAAAAAAAAAATCGCAAAAAAATTCTTAAATGTTTAAACAAAGTTTACAAATTTGTGTTAGGCTGCATTCAAAGCCGTCCTGGGCCGCATGTGGCCCACAGGCTGCAGGTTGGACAAACTTGATATACAGGGATGTGCATTAGAGTAAGGTTTTCAACAGAAAAAAAACAAAAAACAAAAAACAGAATGAATCATTAATTAAAAAGTGACTCCAGGCCGGGAGCAGTGGCTCACGCCTGTAATCCCAGCACTTTGGGAGGCCGAGGCAGGCAGATCACCTGAGGTCAGGAGTTTGAGACCAGCCTGGCCAACATGGTGAAACCCCATCTCTACTAAAAATACAAAAATTAGCCAGGCGCGGTGGCAGGTGCCTGTAATGCCAGCTACTTGGGAGGCTGAGGCAAGAGAATCGCTTGAACCTAGGAGGTGGAGGTTGCGGTGAGCCGAGATCATGCCACTGTACTCCAGCCTGAGCAAAAAGAGTGAAACTCTGTCTCAAAAAAAAAAAAAAAAAAAAAAAAAAAAGAATGACTTCACTATGGTACAGCCACACTATGAGATATTATGGAACAATTAAAAAGAAGGAAGTCAGTATGTGTGGTATGTGTGTAAGGACAAGGAAAGATCTCCAAGAGAAAGTATTAAGTGTAAGAAGAAAGCTAGATCATAACAAGTGTAATATGAACCCTTTATGTTAAAAAATAGAAAAGACTCACCCAAAAGGAGAACTATAAATTTCTATGGGTACGTGTATATGTAAGTAAATAGGAAAGATCTGGGAAGATACACATCAAAGTGATAACAATGGCTAAATCTTAGGAGGAAGTAGGTGTGGAGGGGGATGGTCAAGGAGATTTGAAACTTTAAATTTCTTACAAGAATATATTCATATATTTTGGTCAGTTGTGGTGGCGCATTCCTGTAATCCCAGCTACTTGGGAGGCTGAGGCAGGAGAATCACTTGAACCCAGGAGGCAGCGGTTGCCATGAGCCGAGATGGCGTCACTGCACTCCGGCCTGGGCAACAGAACAAGACTCTGTCCCCCCAAAAAAAAATATATATATTCATATGTTCCTAATTAAATTCAAAATAATGTTATTGTTACTAGAAAAAGAAGGGAGAGACTGGGTGTGGTGCCTCACACCTATAATCCCAGCACTCTGGGAGTCTGAGACAGGAGAATCACTTGAGCCAGGAGTTGGAGACCAGACTGAGCAACAAAGTGAAAACTCATCTTTACAAAAAATTAAATTAAATTAAATTAAAATTAAATAAAGAAAGAAGGGATAGAAGAGAGTCTGCAAGTGGCGGTGTTGCATGGGAGTACTGGACTAGGAGAGGAAGCTAAATGATCAGATTGGAATGACAGAGAGAAGTGTAGCACCACTGGGGGCAGAAGTGAGCACCAACCCAGAAGGAGAGAGGCTCGGGGGGCTGTCAGGGAAAAGGAGAGAGCCAGACTAGGCAGAGGGAACCAGAGGAAGGTGCAGATAGAAGCTCACCATCGAGTCAGGGAGTCCTGGATGGCGTTGGTGAGTGCATGGCCCAGGTGCAGGGAGCCTGTCACATTGGGGGGTGGGATGCACATCATGAAGACACCTCGGGGATTTGCTGCTGACACATTAGGACGCTGATGGTGGAGAAGGATGGCACATGTTTAAGGCCTCAGGTCACCTCTCCCAGCCCCTCCCAGGCAACACATCCTTCAGTCCTGCCCTTCCCCACCCCACCCACTCTGGGCCTGGGCAGCAGTGCCTACTCACCCCATACTCTGGCTTGAAGAAGCCCTGCTGCTCCCACCAAGGGTACCAGGCAGCCTCCACATACCGAGGGCTGTAGGAGTCGGGCATGGGGCCACTGACATCTGGGGGAGAGGAAGGGAGGGCTCAGTGCCGTGGCTGGGAGCACTCTGGGAAGGAGACGTGCTGGCAGAGAGGGATCGGGATCTCCGTCACTCACATCATAGGACAGGCATTTGAGGGGCCTAGAGGCAGGGCAGGGGGTCTGCAATTCCTCACCAAACAAAGTGGTGAGAGCAAGAATAGAGCAAGATAGGGTGAAAACTTAGAAGGGGCTGCTGAGGGGTGAGCCCCTTCCCACTCCTAGTACCTTTCTTTTCCCCGGGTGGGGTTGGGAGGTCATAGGTAATGACCCCAGGATCCCGTTTCTCCCTCTTCTCTGGTTTTGGTTTCTTCTGCTTGGGAGGGAGAAGACATAGGCCCAGGCATCAGCCAACCCATCACCGCACACATCAACTTTCCTTCCAGCTCCACCCTCGCCTCACCTCCCCTGGAGGTGGCTGCTGCTGTTGGATCTTCTGCTTCTGTTGGAATTTCTCTAGCTTCTCCCGTTTCTTTGCCTCTTTCTTGAGCTGAGCAGCTGTCTTTGGGAGGGCAGGAGCCTCGGGGCCTAGAGAGAGGTGCAGAAATTCAGACTCAGCCAGCTGGGGACCCTCTTGGACGGCCATACTAGGTTTCAGATGGGGTATTTTAGATGCCCGAGGTCTTGCCCATGCTGACCTCCCCCCTCTCCCTCCTCTCCCGCAGGACCCTGCCCCAGTGATTCTGCCATTTCTAGGAAAAAAAGAAAGTGAGTTGCATGGAAGGCCCCAGGGAAGCCCCTATCCTCCAACTCCTCGCCCTTCCTCACCTGGCTGATGAGAGAGAGGCCTGGCTCCTGAGTATAGAACCACTTCTCCTAGCACGGCTCGGAATTCTGGCTGCCGGACACACGTGACAAACCAGCGAGTCACATTATTCCAGATCCGGCGGGCAGGTGGGTCTAGGACCTGGAACAGGAAATAAATGACTCTTCTCAGTCACCCTACAGTGAGGTCTGAGGAGAGCAGTCTTGTTCTTCCCCAGGCCTGGTGACTCACGTATCGGAAAGGCAGCAGCAAGGCTGTGACAGCCGCCAGGTCAGCCAGAGTGGGGGCCTCCCCGGCCAAGTAGGTGTGCAGCCGAAGCCACTCCTCCAAGGGGCTCAGGGCCCTGCCCAGGGCCCCCAGCACAGCCTGGCAGGAAGGGGAAGAAGTGTGAGACAAGGTTTGGCCCACCTCCATCTCCCACCACAACCCAATCCATGTGGCCTCCCTCCACCCCACTCTCACAAATCACCACCTCTGAGTCCCATTTCTTCACTCAAATAGTCACAATAAAAATACTTCTGGGCGGATCACGAGGTCAGGAGATCGAGACCATCCTGGCTAACATGGTGAAACCTCATCTCTACTAAAAATACAAAAAAAAAATAGCCAGGCGTGGTGGCGGGCGCCTGTAGTCCCAGCTACTCGGGAGGCTGAGGCAGGAGAATGGCATGAACCCAGGAGGTGGAGCTTGCAGTGAGCCGAGATCACGCCACTGCACTCCAGCCTGGGCAACACAGCGAGACTCCGTCTCAGAAAAAAAAAAACAAAACACTTCTGACTCATCCAACAAATCCCTACTCAATACTTATGTGTTAGATGCAATATGTTAAGCATAGAAGTAAAGATTATATGAGGCATCTCAATAACTGCCAGGTTCAGAACATCAATAAATATGTATTAAGTACTTCTCCAGGGAATGAGAGGAAAACACGAACAGATGGACAGAACCCTGACCTGGTAGAGTTAACATTCTTGTAGGGGAACAACAAATGAGCAAATATAAAATGAAGTGCCCTATTTTTCTTAACTCCTATGAAGAAAAATAAAGCAGAATGAGGGGAACAGGGGCCAGGCGTGGTGGCTCACACCTATAATCTCAGCACTTTGGGAGGCCGAGGCGAGCAGACCATCTGAGGTTAGGAGTTCGAGACCAGCCTGGTCAACATGACAAAACCCCATCTCTACTAAAAATACAAAAAATTAGCCGGACAAGGTGGTGGGCGCCTGTAATCCCAGCTACTCAGAAGGCTGAGGCAGGAGAATCGCTTGAGCAGTGAGCTGAGATCGCACCATCGCACCGTGGCACTCCAGCCTGGGCAACAGAAGGAGATTCCGTCTCAAAAAAAAAAAAAAAAAAGAAAAGAAAAGAAATAAAAGAGGGGAACAAACAGGGAATTCCAGAAGAGAGGGACTCTATTTTATTTGTTTGTTTGGACAGACATTCTGAATGCAAGGACTCTATTGTAGATAGGGTGATCACAATATGAGGGAGCAAGTCAGGGTCTGCCACATTCATTCATCCATTCAAGAAATACTAATTTTCCATCATGTGCTCAATACCATGCAAGGAGGCAGAGTTGAAAGTACACCAAGGCACAGGTCTCCTTTGGAAGGACTGATAGTTACAATCTGGCAGGGTTATCTCTCCTCTCACTTACCTTCCTCATTTCATTTCTCTTTTATCTCCTCCCAGCAATTGTCATCTCTCCCTCACCCAGTCTTTTCCTACAATTCAAATAACTTCTATCCTCATCAATTTCAGACTCATCAAACTTTTACTAAGAGACTTTAAAAGTGCCTGGCACTAAACTATGTGCTCTGCGCACATCTTTTAATCCTATTAACTCAGTGAGGCAAGCATTACATCAACTTGCCTGCGTGTTCATAGACATAGGAAGACCAAGACACAGCGGGTCTATGAAACGTGCCCAGGGTTACCATACCAGTTGGCAATCTGGGATTTGATCACTCTTTTCCCACATCTGATGTACTACCTTCTTGTCTCATTGTCCATTCCAGTCCTCGCTTCCCTCCTCTGAATTTCTCCCCTCCCCCTCTTCTGTACAACCCCCTCACCTGGGGGTCCTGGGCCGAGCTTCGGAGTCCCAGGGCCGGCAGCGTTGCTCCACAGGCAGCTGGTATTAACTCCGTGTCGGCGTAACTGACCCACTGTTGGACAAGGACAGCCGCCCGGCTGCCCCCTGGGCCCCCCAGGCCTGCTGGCC
>NT_167249.2:3155401-3191898 GCF_000001405.40 Homo sapiens
GGCCGGGTGGGGGGGCTGACCCCCCCATCTCCCTCCCGGACGGGGTGGCTGGCCGGGCTGAGGGGCTCCTCACTTCCCAGTAGGGGTGGCCGGGCAGAGGCACCCCTCACCTCCCGGACGGGGCGGCTGGCCGGGCGGGGGGCTGACCCCCCCACCTCCCTCCCGGACGGCACGGCTGGCCAGGTGGGGGGCTGACCCCCCCACCTCCCTCCCGGATGGCACGGCTGGCCGGTCGGGGGGGCTGACCCCCCACCTCCCTCCCAGATGGGGCGGCTGGCCGGGCGGGGGGTTGACCCCCCCCACCTCCCTCCCGGACGGGGTGGCTGCCGGGCGGAGATGCTCCTCACTTCCCAGATGGGGTGGCTGCGGGGCGGAGAGGCTCCTCACTTCTCAGACGGGGCAGTTGCCGGGCGGAGGGGCTCCTCACTTCTCAGACGGGGTGGTTGCCAGGCAGAGGGTCTCCTCACTTCTCAGACGGGGCGGCCGGGCAGAGACGCTCCTCACCTCCCAGACGGGGTCTCGGCCGGGCAGAGGCACTCCTCACATCCCAGATGGGGCGGCGGGGCAGAGGCGCTCCCCACATCTCAGACGATGGGCGGCCGGGCAGAGACGCTCCTCACTTCCTAGATGTGATGGCGGCTGGGAAGAGGCGCTCCTCACTTCCTAGATGGGATGGCGGCCGGGCGGAGACGCTCCTCACTTTCCAGACTGGGCAGCCAGGCAGAGGGGCTCCTCACATCCCAGACGATGGGCGGCCAGGCAGAGACGCTCCTCACTTCCCAGACGGGGTGGCGGCCGGGCAGAGGCTGCAATCTCGGCACTTTGGGAGGCCAAGGCAGGCGGCTGGGAGGTGTAGGTTGTAGTGAGCCGAGATCACGCCACTGCACTCCAGCCTGGGCACCATTGAGCACTGAGTGAACGAGACTCCGTCTGCAATCCCGGCACCTCGGGAGGCTGAGGTTGGCGGGATCACTCGCGGTTAGGGGCTGGAGACCTGCCCGGCCAACACAGCGAAACCCCGTCTCCACCAAAACCAGTCAGGCATGGCGGCGCGTGCCTGCAATGGCAGGCACTGGGCAGGCTGAGGCAGGAGAATCAGGCAGGGAGGTTGCAGTGAGCCGAGATGGCAGCAGTACAGTCCAGCTTCGGCTCCGCATGAGAGGGAGACCGTGGGGAGAGGGAGACAGAGGGAGAGGGAGGGAGAGCCGGTGGATAAACTCTTTAAACTAGATTCTAAGCCTGGTACAGTGGTATGTGCCTGCAGTCCCAACTCTATCTACTCTAGGAGGCTGAGGCAGGAGGATCCCTTGAACTTCAGTCTGAATCTAACCTGGGCAACATGGCAAGACTCCATCTGTAAAAAGCAACAACACTAGATTCTCAGCTTTTGTTCGTTTGTTTAAGACAGTCTCGCTGTGTCTCCCAGACTGGAATGCAATGGTATGATCTTGGCCCACTGTAACCTCTCGCTCCCGGGTTCAAGCGATTCTCCTTCCTCAGTCTCCTGAATAGCTGGGACTACAGGCGCGACCCACAACACCCAGCTAATTTTTGTATTTTTGGTAGAGACGGGGTTTCGTCATGTTGACCAGGATGGTCTTGAACTCCTGACTTCAGGTGATTCGCTTGCCTCTGCCTCCCAAAGTGCTGGGATTATAGGTGTGAGCCACAGCGCCTGGCCTAGATTCTGAACTTTTTAATTATTATTTTTTAGATTGATAACACTTACCCCGATTTTTTTTTTTTTGAGGGAGAGTCTCGCTCCATAGCCCAGGCTGGAGTGCAGTGGCATGATTTCAACTCACTGCAATCTCCGTCTCCCAGGTTCAAGCGATTCTCCTGCCTTAGTCTCCTGAGTAGCTGGGATTGTAGGTGCCTGCCACAATGCCTGGCTAATTTTTTGAATTTTTAGTAGAGACAGTGTTTCACCATGTTGGCCAGACTGGTCTTGAACTCCTGACCTCAAGTGATCCCCCTTCCTCAGCCTCCCAAAGTGCTAGGATTACAGGCGTGAGCCACCGTGCCCAGCCAACTTGCCCCAATTTTTAAATAACTTATTTTATTTTATTTTTTAAATATTTCCTTGGCCGGGTGGGGTGGCTCACACCTGTAATCCCGGCACTTTGGGAGGCCGAGGCGGGCGTATTGCCTGAGGTCAGGAGTTCGAGACCAGTCTGGCCAACATGGTGAAACCGGGTCTCTACTAAAAATACCAAAAAATTAGCCGAGCGTGGTGGCAGGCGCCTGTAATCCCAGCTACTTAGGAGGCTGAGGCAGGGGAATTGCTTGAACCAGCGAGGCAGAGGTTGCGGGGAGCCAAGATTGCGCCACTGCACTCCAGCCTGGGCAACAGAGCAAGACTCCGTCTCAAAAAAAAAAAAAAAATTTCCTCACAGAGTAGAGCTAACTCATAAGCAGTGTGCCCAGAGTCGGCCCACTTTGTCCCATTAGTACAAACAAGCTCTTTCCCCTTTCAGTCTCCTGCCACTTGTCCCAATCTTTCCTGTGTATTTTTTTTTTTTTTAAGATGAAGTCTTGCTCTGTCGCCCAGGCTGGAGGGCAGTGGCATAATCTCGGCTCACTGCAACCTCTGCCTCCCAGGTTCAAGTGAGTCTCCTGCCTCAGGCTCCCGAGTAGCTGGGACTACAGGCGTGTGCCACCACATATGGCTAATATTTGTATTTTTAGTAGAGATGGGGTTTTACCATGTTGGCCAGGCTGGTCTAGAACCCCTGACCTTGTGATCCGCCCACCTCGGCCTCCCAAAGTGCTGGGATTACAGGCGTGAGCCACTGCACCTGACCCTTCCCTGTGTATTAAAAGAAAAAAAAAAAGCTGGAAAAAAAAGGTTCTTTAACTATTTCTGCAACTTTGACGTACATATAATTCATTTTAGCTGGACACTTGCACTTGTTTAAAAGTTCTGACCCTGGTTTTCAAACTTAAACGTATTACGAATCACCCAGAAGGCTTGTTAATGCCTGGTGGCTCCAACACCAGAGCTTCAGATTCCATGGGTCTGTAAAGAGTGAGGGAGGGAAGGTCAAGCTTTTTTTCTTTCTTGAAGGTTTTTTGTTTTGGTTTGGTTTTTTGGAGATGAGGTCTCACTCTGTCACCTAGGTTGGTGTGCAGTGGTGCAATCATAGCTCACTACTGCCTCGAACTCCTGGGGTCAAAGAGATCAAGCCATCCTCCCATGTAGCTAGGACTATAGGTGTGCGTTACCATGCTTGGCTAATTTTTAAATTTTTTAGACATGGGGTATTGCCATGTTGCCCAGGATGCCCTTTAATTTGATCATCCTGCCTTGGTCTCCCGAAGTGCTAGCATTACAGATCTGAGCCACCACACCTAGCCAGGAAGGTAGTGTCTGTCTCTCAAGCCTCCCAGCACTTCTGTTTCTAACAGGTAGTAGTTCATGGGTCAGACATTCATAGTGTCCTTTCCTTTTTGTCTTCCACTATTTCTTTTTCTTTTTTTTTTTGAGCAAGGGCTCTCCCACTTACCTGCAGGCTGAACAGATTCTTTTCATAAGCATCTGCCTGGGGAATATTTTCTTACATAATTTGCCATAGGAAGTGCTCACTTCTCTGTCAGGCTAGCTGGGACAGGATTCCCATCTGCATTTCACACACTTGCACCCTATTTCATGGAGGATGGTATCCTACCCCATGTTAGAAATATAAAACAGCGTGGATTTTTTTTTTTTCAGACGGAGTCTCACTCTGTTGCCGAGGCTGGTGTGCAGTGCTGTGATCTCAGCTCACTGCAAACTCCGCCTCCTGGTTCAAGTGATTCTCCTGCCTCAGCCACCTGAGTAGCTGGGACTATAAGTGTAAGCCAACACGCCTGGCTAGTTTTTGTATTTTTAGTAGAGATGGGATTTCACCATATTGGCCAGGCTGGTCTCGAACTCCTGACCTTGTGATCCGCCCACCTTGGCCTCCCAAAGTGCTGGGATTATATGTGTGAGCCACCACGCTTGGCCAAGTGTGGATTTTAAAATATCTTACAGGCTGGGTGCAGGGGCTCAAGCCTGTAATCCCAGCACTTTGAGAGAACATGGCCGGCAGATTGCTTGAGCTCAGCAGTTTGAGACCAACCTAGGCAATATAGTGAGACTTTGTCTCTACTAAAAATTAAAAAAATCAGCCCGCCGGCACCATGGCTCATGCTTGTAATCACAACACTTTGGGAGGCCAAGGCGGGTGGATCACCTGAGGCCAGGAGTTTGAGACCAGCCTGGCCAACATGGTGAAACTCCGTCTCTACTAAAAATACAAAAATTAGCCGGGTGTGGTGGTGGGCACCTGTAATCCCAGCTATTCGGGAAGCTGAGGCAGAAGAATCGCTTGAACCTGGGAGGCAGAGGTTGCAGTGAGCCGAGATCGCACCACTGCACTCTAGCCTGGGTGCCAGAGCAAGACTCCATCTCAAAAAAAAAAAAATTAAATTAAAAAATGAATAAATAAAAAATAAAAAATATCTTATGGCACTCCCTTCATACTCATTACACCTGTGAAGATCAACCTGTTTCTCGGTGATAAGAAGGAATGTAGGCTGGGTGCGGTGGCTCATAGCTGTAACCTCAGCACTTTGGGAAGCTGAGGCATGAGGATTGCTTAAGCACAGGAGTTCCATACCAGCCTGGGCAACATAGCGCAACCTTGTCTCTACTGAAAATAAAAATTAAAAAAATTAACCAGGCATGGTGTCACTGACCTGTAGTCCCAACTACTCCGGAGGCTGAGACGTGAGGATCACTTGAGCCCAGGAGGTTGAGGCTTCAGTGAGCCGTGATTGTGCAACTGCACTCCAGCCTGGGTGACAGAGCGAGCCCTGTCTCAAAAAAAGCAACAACAAAAAAAGAGGGCATGTCAAAAGGAAAAGAGGATTTGATTTGCCAAAGTCAGATTTTCACAGGCAGTACGCACATCAGGTCTCTCCCCAGAACTCACCCAGGCTCACAAGGATACATGAGGAAAACAGACACGAAGATGTGCATTGACAGAACCATAGAGACTCTACAAATATTCATTATCCTTCATTAAAAATTTTAAGTTACAAACATTTTGATTGATAGTCAGTCATGGTGGTGCACCTAGTCCTTACTCTGAAACCAAATATCCTGCCATCTGGGGACTTTCACCAGCCCTGTCGGTTATCTTACCGCAACACCAAAGAGGAGGCTCAGCCTTCCCCAGTTCCCTGAGTTCACATTGATTCAATTCTACAGCTCACTAGACCTGCCCAAGACAGGACCAATCAATGTCCCGGGAGGGCAGAGAGGGTGGTGGGGCCACACTTAGCCATATGGAAAGACAGTATTCTCAGATGAGGGCAGGACTTTTTTGTGGGAGAGGACGCCTAGCTTTCAGTCCTAAAGGAAGTGATTTCCCTGGTAAAGGGAAGGTGATTTTGCCAAGGCTGGAGTCTAAAGGAAGATGGAACTGTCTTTCAGGCGTCTCCAGCAGACCCTCTACAGACCCGTGTTCCTGAAGGCAGAGTCCTGAAGGCAGAATACCCCTGTGGCAGTGGCACAGCTCAGAGTGTCCCATAGACACTGATTTTGGCCACGGAGATGCTCTCTGTGTAGTGGTTCCGGCCTTTCTCATACAGGACGTAGAGCTGGGGGGCCTGCTCCTCTCCATCCATGCTGCCCTCCAGGGTTGCCAGGGATGAATAGCCACTGGGGCCTGGCCATAGCTGGACTGTCTCTTTCCGCCATGAGGTACCATTGCTGAAGCTCCATCGCAGGGTCAGGTTCACTCCTGGGGAGAGCAGGAGAGTCAGGGAGAGAGGGTCTCTGCCCAGGCCTTGTCTAGACACAGGGCTCTCCCTGCTGACCCCACCCATGAGGCACTCACGGAACTCTGGATGTGCTGGGTTGGAGAAGAAGACAATGCCGGAGCTGGTGACTACAGCTCCTGCAGCTACCACAGGGTCCACGAGCTCAGGGTCGAAGGTCACATCACGGGGCCTTAGTGTATCACAGGCATCATAGCTGCGGAGGACAATTCGGCAGTGGCAGTGGTAGTTGTTCTGGTTTCGGGCATTGATGACGACTGAGCCATCTGGGAGCTCATAGGGCTGAGGGGAGAGGACAGGACCTCAGGGAGGGAACAGGGAAAATGCCCTGTCCCCGAGGGGAGCAAGGGTGTGTGGCACTGAGTGGAGCAGTCAGACCCTGGGTCTGTGCGTGAAATGATGTTCTGGAGGGCAGGGAGGGTCAAATGGGTAGGGAACATCTCATGGACTCCTGACCTGGCATTCATCAGGATTGAAATCATTTTCCTGCTTGGGCTGACCGTAGGGGATGCCGCTGACCCCACTTCCGTAGCGCCAGGAGGCACCATGATCATCGCTGAGGAGACAGAAGACTCCGTCCCGCTCCAGCGTCCCATGGCCACACACGATGAGGCGGCCCTTCCGTGGCTCCCGCTGTTTCTGTGGGAAAGGGAACTGGGTGTCACAGAAGGAGACTCTAGGGGCTCAGAGGCAGGGACAGAGAACCCACCACTTCCCAAATGCAATCACATGTATGGTCCCCTTGAGTTCAGCCCTTGCTCACTGAGGGTTCCAGTCAGATCCCATAAATACACACCCTGTTTGAATTAAGAAGCTCTCCCAGGGTGTACAGCTGGACATGTGCACCAGGGGCCCAGCCACAGGGTGCATGAGAGCTTAAACCCAACCTGTGCTCACTCGCCAAGCTGTGCACCCTGGCACAGGCTTGTGTCTGTCCAAAGAGGCAGTGCCTTTTTCTACTTTGCATGAGGGTATTGCATGGACTAACGCAGTCCTGTTGACAATGCCAAATGGGAAGCCAATGGCAGAGTTCCCTCTTCTCCTGATAATGTGTTCCTACCAGGATGCCCTGTCTTTCAAGGAATCCCACCCAAGCCAGAAAATCTGACTTCAGAGAATCTTCCCCTTGGAAAGGAGTCCATTTGGGGGTATCCCTCAGACTCTCCACAAGGCAGCCCCCTCCACCTATCTCCTAGGACAGAGACCTGAATACCAGAGCCCGGTCCAGGGGCAAACACTTCAGTGCCAATATCCAGGGAGAGATTCCGGGGTGTGCTCCAGGAAACACCATCATCCTTGCTCCATACCAACATGGTAGAGGCCACCTGGCAGCCGGCCTTGTGAGCACAAAGGGAGTAGAAAAGAAATACTACTCCTGTCTCAACATCGCTCACTACTGCCCCAAGGTTCAGCCCATCGGGGACATCCCCATCATTGACAATGAACGCTGTAGGAGACCATGTGCTGCCTGAAAAAAATTGGAGGAAGAAACCCAGAGTGAGCACTCTGCAGGTACCCTTTCTACCACTTCCCGTTAATTTCCCACCTTCTGCTAGGGACCTCAGGCCTTCCGATGGTCCCAGGGTGCAATCCAACACTTGCACTATCTATACCTCTTGTCCTGTTTTATTTTTCTCCATTGCATTTATCACCTTGCAACAGACAAAAAAGTTTACTTGTTTATTATGCTTGTCTGTCTCCTTCCAGTACAATTTAAATCCTGAGGGCAGAGATTTTTGATCTGTTTTGTTCGTGGCTATATTCATGAAACCTAAAATAGTGCCTGGTATAGGTATATAGTACCCAATAAATGTTTGCTAAGTGAATGTCCAACTCCTTGGTGATCCCAATTTCCAGATCACTGTCCTAGACACTTGCCCTTCTCGGGTTCCCTCTACCCCTCAGGGACTCAGGCAACCAACCCTCTAAGTTCCCCTATCCTCAGGGCCCTTGGGCTCATTGGGCTGCCCACCCATCCAACCTAGCACCGGCTCTTTCACCCAGACATCTTTATACCCTGGTCCATGGACCTCCGCAGGGCGATGAACTTGGCCCCCTCATCGGATGAGGACATTTTCCTCGCCTCAGCAAAGGCGAGAAGAGTGCCCCGCGGAGTGGCTGTGATGAGCGGGATGCGGAAGGTGTCCACTGAGCCGATCTGTCTCCCGCTCACCCACAGCAGTTGCTCCATGGTCACCAGCGGCTGCACCTGTCATGGGAGGAGGAAGGGTCAACAAAGACAAACTTGTCTTGGGGGTTTTAGGAACCCACGTTCCGATGGGAGAGGGAGGATCTAATGGGGATCCCGAGTAGGGGATGGGGTCCCAGAACAAGAAAGAGGAACACGAAGGGGAGTTTGGAGCGAAGCTGGAGGCTCGGAGCAGGGGAGGGTCTACGAAAGGAGAAGGCGCCTTCAGGGAGGGAAGGGGACCCCAAAAGAGGAAGGGGCTCGAATGAGGAGAAGGACGGGGACCCGGAGAGGGAGAGGGGCTGGGAGCGGTAGGAGGAAACGGGGTCTGGGAGAAAGAAAAGGGTCCTGTCGCGGAAAGTCGGCTCAGCCGCCCGCGTTCCGGGGGACACTAGGTGTCGATCACCTGCGCGGGTCGGGGATGGGGCTATGCAAAGGGTGACTCACCAGACCGAAGTCGTTCTCAGCCTTGGACCAGGAGGCTGCCAGAGACAGCAGCAGGAAGATCGCGGCAAACACCCAAACCCTACAGCCTCCCCAGAAGCCCAGAATCCGCGGCCCCCAGCGTCTGTCCGGGAGCGCCGTGCTGGGTCGCTCCCCAGTCATCTCTCCCCGCAGCTGCCGCGACCCTGGCAGCTAGACTCCACAGAGTCGGGAGTCAGCTGACCCGGACCCTTTAAAGCGCAGATGTCACCCTTAAGCCCGCCCCGGTCTGGAGGCCCCGCCGCGCTTCCCGGACTCTAATTGGTCTTCAAGTAGCTCATCTCCTCCCACGTGATCACGCAGCATCTCGAAGCTTGCCCTTCCGATTGGCCCTCTTGGAGGCCCTCTTGGAGGCCCGGAGCGCGTGACCCGAACGGGAAGCGGACTGGCTGGGGTGAAGAAGGGACTGGCACCATCCTTATTGGGCTTTTTGATTGGCCGCGGCACCAGGACACGTCACAGGGGCGGGGCCGATTTTAAAGAGCCGGGCGCGGAAAAAAAAAGGCCGCCTGTCGTCGTGGAGAGAATGAGTCACAGATTTACTGAGTTAACAAAATATCTTTAATAAAATCTTTTTGTTTGTTTGTTTTGTTTTGGAGACAGAGTCTGTCACCCAGGTTGGAGTGCAGTGGCGCGATCTCGGCTCACTGCAACCTCTGCCTCCCGGGTTCAAGCGATTCTCCTGCCTCAGCCTCCCGAGTAGCTGGGATGACAGGTGCATGCCACCACTCTCGGCTAATTTTTGTATTTTTAATAGAGACGGAGGTTTCACCATGTTGGCCAGGCTGGTCTCGAACTCCTGACTCAGGTGATCCGCCCGCCTCAGCCTCTCAAAGTGTTGGATTACAGGCGTGAGCCACGGCGCCTGGCCTAAAACCTTTTTTTACCACAAAATGGAGACCTGTAAGGCGAAGTGAGGTTGGATGGCTGGACGGTGGGGGTGGGGTGCAGTCCTGGATCAGGGCCGGAGCTGTCACTTCTTCCTCTTCTTGTTGTCCGGGGGCGCCTCGTTCTTCTTGCCCAGAATCTTTAGAAGGCTCTTGGACATGTAGTAGGGCCGGTCCAGGGAGCCGTTGTTCCGCTCCAGGTCTTCCACTGAGCCGCAACAGAGACCGGTTAGAGCGGACCCTGGGGCCAGGAAATCGGGGACTGGGAGGCAAGCTGCCTGCGGGATTTGGAATCCAAGCTGCACCACCACCCTTACCCCCGGGCAGGTTATGTAATCTCAGTTTCCTCCTGTGAAGTGGGGTCGGGAATATTATGTTGCATAGAGCGATGATAAGAATTAGCGGAAAAAATGCATGTCAGTCGCTTAGGAGGAGACTGGCAAACCCTGAATGGATGCATGCTGTAGAGTAAGAAAATCCCCTGCCGCTACAGCCACCTGCTGGGAAGTCTCTCTAATGGCTCTTTTTTTTTTTTAATCTTTTTTCTTTGTTTTGAGACGGAGTCTTGCTGTCGCCCAAGCTGAAGTGCAGTAGCGCAATCTCGGCTCGCTGCAACCTCCGCCTCCTGAGTTCAAGCGATTCTCCTGCTTCAGCCTCCCAAGTGGCTGGGATTACAGGCGCCCGCCACCGCGCCCAGCTAATTTTTTGTATTTTTAGTAGAGAGGGGTTTCACCATGTGGGCCAGGCTGGTCTCGAACTCCTGACCTCAGGGTGATCTGCCCACCTCGGTCCCCCAAAGTGCTGGCATGACAGGCGTGAGCCACCATGCCTGGCCTCTAATGGCTAACTTCTACCCGAGATTTCTTAGGGAAGATAGCAGAGACCTCTCCATCAGAATGCTCCTTCTTTGGAGAGCCTACCGGCCTGGGGGCTCACTCTCTTCCTTCTTCCCTAAACGCCTGGCCTCAGGATGTCACAAGAAGCTCCCTCTGGTTCGTTTAGCTCACAAAGGCATTGTTTCTAGAAGCACCAAATCTCCAAAAAAAAAAAAAAATGCTTGAACGGCTCAGTACTTTAAGGTTGGGGACAGGTGGCTGGGGGTGTCACTCACGGAAGCAGAGGAAGAGCGTGTCCACACACATGCCGAAAACGCTGAAGAAGCCGCTGGCGATGACATAGGCCCCCAGGATGGAGGTCTGGAAGACATGACCCGTTGGGGTTATTGGGTTCCTCTGGGGAGTTGGGGGTGGAGCAGCAGAGAGGGGAGTCACTCACCATGATGGGCAGCCAGTAATAGTTGAGGTGGGGGCTCTTAAAGTCTTTACCCAGCCCCGGGATGCGACCGGAGAAAAAAAAGAAGGACAGGACCCCTGTGGAATAATTCTGGGGGTTAGTGCTGCACCTCTGAGGCCACCTCTTCAGCTGCCCAGCACCCCTACCCTCTGTCCCCACAGCTTCTGGTCCCTTACCCACGCCTCCGACCACCAGCAGCTTCCCAAAGAACAGCAGCAGGTCTGTGACTTTGTCCAGGACGACCACCCTGTGCCAGAAGTTAGGGCAGGTTGAGGGTGAGAGGCCTGGCAATGCTGAGAGTGAAATTGGCTTCGTAATTTGTGGGGACTGGTGCAAAATGAAAATTGTTCACGTTTCAAGATGGCAAGAGCAGAGCACTAAACTAAGTCTAGGGCCCGACTGAGCACAGCACACCCACGAAGCCAGCCTTGGGTGGGAGATCAGAGGAGGGAGCCACAAAGCGGGGGGGGAGCAGCCTAACCTGACAATGTTTCGCATGAGTAGCATGAACGCATTTTTGGCTGAGACACAGAAATTCTTCCCGTAGATGGCGATCTGAGGGAGGTGGAAAGGTCAGAGTTACCAAGGCGAGCTGCCTGGACCAGGATGGGGGTGTCTAGACCAAAGGGCACCAGAACAAAGGGTTGCTTGCAGTGTAGCTCACCATGATGTATGCATTGCGGTTTAGGAACTTGATAAATTTTTCCAGACACCAGAGGCAGCACTTGAAACAGCACATGATGCAGCGGGCTACAGGGTTCTGCACTCCTGGGAGCGAGGAAGGCTCATGTTTGGTCACTGCCCCTCCCTAATGGCCTTCCCCAGCTCCTGACTCCTACTCCGACTCCAGACTCACCTCTGAGCTTGTGGTCAATATACTCCAAGATGACCCGGGCTATCTGCACAAGGGTCAGGATGAGGGCTCCAAATGCCAATGACCCAGTGTGGTAACTGCAGAGGGTGTTATGCAGTCAGAGACAGCTCCAGGACCCCTGGGGCCCCCGTGCCTACAATGACCAGGCCCCTGCCCCATCCTTACCGGAGTGTGCGGATGAAGGCAGAGATTAAGGGGAAGGTAGGGATGTCCTGGGGCTTGTGGAAGGCCCAGTAGAAGGAGGCAAAGGCTCCAGCGAGGACGCATTGGCCCAGGGCCAGTACCCAGTTAAGGGTCCAGAAGAGCCCCAGGACCCCATAGATTTGCAGATTGAAGACAGAACGTTGGATTAGGCCTTTGGATGAGTAGCCCTGGAAGACGCACATCAGCCCTGGGCACGAGGAGTTCACAAGGTGGGCCTGGGAGGGTAGACGGGGATAGAGTAGGCTCAGGCATCGGGGGCCTCAGTATGGAGCCTGGGCGTCCCATTCCCAGTAGCTCCTGCCCCTCCCAGAGTTGACAGGTGGGAAGTAGCTTCTCTGGACTGCGGGAATCAAGTTCTGTCGGAGAGTTCCATCTCCAGGCTCAAACTCAGTTTGGTCTGCCTATAGCATAAGCATAATCAGCTCCCTCAGTCTCAATCAGAGGGGAAGGCACTCACTCAGCATTCCCATTCCAGAGCAGCCTCTGCAACGTCTACCAAAACCCTTTCCGGCAAATTGAACAGGCTGGGTATTTGATGATATTAAGGAATTATTGTTAATTTTGTGAGATGTGATAATGATATAGTGGCTATGCTTTTAAACAGTTCTTATCTGTTGAGATCCATCTCGATGCATGTACAGGTGAAATGGCATGATGTCCAGAATTTGCCTTAAAAGTCTCCAGAAAAAAAAATTTATGAGGCGGGTGCGGTGGCTTATGCCTGTAATCTCAGCACTTTGGGAGGCCGAGGTGGGCGGATCGCCTGAGGTCAGGAGTTCAAGACTAGCTTGGCCAACATGGTGAAATCCCATCTCTACTGAAAATACAAAAAATTAGCCGGGCGTGGTGGCAGACGCCTATTATCCCAGCTATTCAGGAGGCTGAGGCAGGATAATTGCTTGAACCCAGGAGGCAGAGGTTGCAGTGGGCCGAGATCGCGCCACTGCACTCCAGCCTGGGAGACAAGAGCAAAACTCCATCTCAAAAAAAAAAAAAATTATAGGTGAGGATATAGATGAAATAAGAATAGCAAAAAGTTGAGGGTTGTGGAATCTGGGTACAGGGAACTCACTGTGCTATCATCTCTACTTTTGCATATGTTTAAAAATTCCCATAATAAAAAGTAAAAAGTCACAAATTAAAAAGCAACCCTTTCTAGCAAATATAACCAAAAAAATTTTTTTTTGACACAGGGTCTCGCTCTGTTGCCCAGGCTGGAGTACAGTGGCTCAATCTCAGCTCACTGCAACCTCTGCCTCCCGTGTTCAAGCAATCCTCCTGCTTCAACCTCCCAAGTAGCTGGGACTGCAGGTGTGTGCCACCATGCCTGGCTAATCAAAAAATCTTTTTTTTTTTTTTGAGATGGAGTCTCACTCTGTCACCATATTGGCCAGGTTGGTCTCGAACTCTGGACCTCATGATTCACCTGCCTCGGCCTCCCAAAGTGCTGGGATTACAGGTGTGAGCCACTGCGCGCGGCCTTCTGTCAGTCTTTACTGCTAGATCACAAGCAAGTTGAAAACAACACTCACGTCATACCCAGCACAGTTGCTCATGTGTATAATCCCAACACTTTTGGAGGCTGAAGCAGGCAAATTGCTTGAGCCCATTTGTTTGAGACCAGCCTGGGCAACATAGTGAAACGCCATCTCTTAAAAAAAAAAATTAGCCGGGCATGGTGGCACTTGTTTGTAGTCCCAGCTACTTGGGAGACTGAGGTGAGAAGATCACTTGAGCCTGGGAGATCAAGGCTTCAGTGAGCCATGATCGCATCACTGCACTCCAGCCTGTGTAACAGCCTTTTTTTCATTAAAAAAGAAAAAAAAAAGAAAAAGAAAAAGAACCACATCATTTTGGGCTTTGTATACCCAGTGCCTGGCACATAGTGGGTCCTCTGTACATGTAAATAAACCTTTTTTTTTTTTTTTTGAGACGGAGTCTCGCCGCCCAGGCTGCAGTGCAATGGCGCGATCTCAGCTCACTGCAACCTCCGCCTCCCGAGTTCAAGCAATTCTCCTGCCTCAGCCTCCTGAGTAGCTGGGATTACAGGCACCTGCTACCATGCCTGGCTAATTTTTGTACTTTTAGTGGAGACAGGTTTTTGTCATGTTGGCCAGGCTGGTCTCAAACTCCTGACCTCAGGTGATCTGCCCACCTCGGCCTCCTAAGTGCTGGGATTACAGGCATGAGCCACCGCGCCTGCCAAACCTCCCCTTTTTAATAGGGGTGGGGCTAATGCCTGCAGCACAGCTCATGTTCCCAGCTCAGACGAGGTGAAGATATGACAGGTTTGAGAAGAGTAAATTCCCAGCAGCCCAGCGCCACTCCCGGGGAACCTCACAGGGGAATTTTGGAAGCAGCTTCTCTCTCGGGTCCCCCGCAGGGAGTCCCACCTGGCTACTACCTAGGGCTCTGTGTTCCAAGGGAGTAAGACTTAACAATATAATACAATTCAACCTGTTGTTGAGCTCTTATCAGGTGCCAGGCATTGTACTAAGCACTTTATGTGCCCAAAGTCATTTCATCTTCTCAGCCACCCCAGGGATGGGTATTATAATTATCCTCATTTTACAGAGGAATGGAGCTGCATGTGGTGGCTCACTCCTATAATCCCAGTACTTTGGGAGGTTAAGCCAGAGGATTGCTTGGGTACCTGACTACATCGGGGCAACCCCAGGAGTTCAAGACCAGCCCGGGTAACACAGCAAGACCTTGCCTCTACAAAAAGCTTAAAATTAGCCTGGCGTGGTGTCATACGCTAGTAGTTCCAGCTGCTCAGGAGGCTGAGGTGGGAAGATTGCTTGAGCCTGGGGGATGGAGGTTGCAGTGAGCTGAGATTGCACTGCTGCACTCCAGCCTGGGCAACAGAGCAAGACCCTGTCTCAAAACAAACAAACAAACAAACAAACAAACAAACAGGAGTAGGCTGAGACTCAGAGGGTGAAGTGGTTGATGGTCCTCAAGTCAGAGCAATGTCCTGGGGAGGGGTGGAGTAAGTCCTGGTATCCAGGGCTGTCTCTCCCAGCCTCAGTTTCCCTCCCCACATGATGGATGGCTCAACAGGAGTACCAGGTATTCTGGGAACTGGTTTCTTCTAGCTCTGCTGGGGGTTGAGTGTGTGACCTTGCACAAGTGTCTTGCCCTCTGTGGCCTCAGTCTTCTCTGCACAATGAGGAATGTGGCCCCTACAGCCCCTCACCCCTACTAGTCCCGCCTCCATGTCCCCTGCTTCCTCTTACCGTGGGGTTGCATGATGTATTTATTGGCACTTTCTCACAGCCGGGGGAGCTGATGTTGGATGCCCAGAGCACATACTGGGGTTGCCCCGATGTAGCCAGGTACCCAGAGGGGAGTCAAGGAAAGCATGATCACACGAGGTCTCCACAGGTCACTCGCTCCTTAGGGACCTGTTCCTAGGTGCTTGTGCAGATCGTTTGCTGCACAGAGAGGGCTGAAATTCAGCCTGTGTGCACCCTTTCAACTCTGTTCAGGCACAGTGCTGGTGTGTCTGCCCAGAGAAAGGGGCACCTCTTCCAGTGACACCAAGGCACTCTACAAGGCAAGTATTGCTTTGTTTTCCATCAACCCCCAGGACTCCAAGAGTGGCTGGCTGCGTGGGCAGAGGATACAGAGCAGTCATGGCCCAGTAGGCAATGCAGATGAGGAGGAGGACAAAGGTGACCAGTGGGTAGAACATGGTAGACATCATCTGTCCCACAGCCCTGCAGGGAGACAAAGCTGTTAACCGGCACCGCCCCAGCTGTCCATCTTCTCAAGGGGCTGACCCCGGCCGGGCGCGGTGGCTCACGCCTGTAATCCCAGCACTTTGGGAGGCTGAGGCGGGCGGATCACGAGGTCAGGAGATCGAGACCATGCTGGCTAACACGGTGAAACCCCATCTCTACTAAAAATACAAAAAATTAGCCGGGCATGGTGGCGGGCGCCTGTAGTGCCAGCTACTCCGGAGGCTGAGGCAGGAGAATGGCGTGAACCCGGGAGGCGGAGTTTGCAGTGAGCTGACATCGCACCACTGCACTCCAGCCTGGGCGACAGAGCGAGACTCCGTCTCAAAAAAAAAAAGGGGGGGGCTGACCCCGCTGCCCTCACTGGGGCCTGCCCCACTCCCCCAGGGTGGGACCAACAGGGTTAGTGACATTGTCTTTCATATCTGTGTCCTCAGGGCCTGGTGCAGGGCTAGGCATACTGTAGGTGCTCACTGGATAAACAGAACTGAATAAATCAGGCTCACAGGACCCTTAGAGGAAACTAGGGTCACAGAGAAGCCACCTGGGGCAGCTTCGGGTGGAGTAAGGGAAGATCACCCCCAAGCGTGATCCCTTGGCAGGTGTGTGTGGCAGTTCCTGATCGGGAGCAAGCTGCTGCCCCTCCTGGCCCGGATTCCTGCCGTTCCACTCAGCCACCACCACTCCCACCAACCCCTCTAGAAGGCCTATGTCATATTCCAGGCACTCATTGAATCCTCAAGACAACCCTAGAAGGCAGGAATTATTGTTACCCCCATTTTACAGATGGGGAAGCAAAGCCACAGCAGTGTTCACCACTGTGCTATATTCCTCCCTTCTCCTCTGAGGCTCCCTGCCACCTCTCTAGCACCCCCTAGGTCCCCTAGCACTCCTGGGTCCACGCTGTCCTCAACCCCATCTCCCTCCCAGGCAGGCCCTAACTTGCTGGCCTCCTTCAGGAGGGCGATGGCAATACGAATCCGCTGCCGCAGGAAGATGAGCACCAGCAGCAGGATGGCTTCAAGCACCGCCAACACGATCACTGCAGAGGATGGGGCAGACAGACCTAGGTCAGGGCCAGGGCTGGGGCCGGGCATGGCCCAGGGCAGTCCTTGGGCAGCTGGTGGCTTGGGGGTGGGCAGGACACTCACGGGCGGCCAGCCAGGTCTCCTGCACGCTCTGGTAGGCACTGAGGTTGGTGGTGAAACCCAGCTGGGAGATGGAGGCGCCCTTGTCCCGCAGCACTCGGTACTCCTCCCAGCAGTAGTAGATGCCATATGCCAGCACGCCCAGCACTCCCAGGATCAGCACCAGCACCAGGGGCCCAGCCACCAGGCGCAGAAGCAAGATAAACAGTAGGCTCAAGACCAGAGCCACCCCCAGGGCACTGTAGGCAGGGTGAGGACAGTGAGGTTCAGCCCTAGCCCCTCAAATCTTTCCCCTTACAGAGGCCCTCCCTGCCTTTCCACACACCACCCAATGTCCCCAGATTAGGCCTCTTTCCCTTATAAATCCTGTTGGTCTTGGAATCCATTCGGAGCTCTGGCTCCTCCTCCTCTGTCCAAAGCCTGTGTTTCAGACATTGGGCGAGGGGGTAGAGGATCAGGGAGGAAGAAGGCAAGGACACAAGAGGAGGGGAATCTGGTGACTCACACAAGAATCCAATACCAGGACTGGGCAAAATCTTCAAAGATCTTAACACTGATGTCTCGGGCATTGAGGCTGTCAATAAGACCGCTGTTGGGGAGACAGAGTCAGATGGGGCTGTGGGTGGAAGGGGTGTGGCCAGGATGTGGGGGAGGGAGGTGCCTACCTGATCCCCTGCTGTATGGTGGTGTCATTGGTGATCCCTGGGAGCGCCGGTGGAGTAATGTTGGTCCATGGAAAGCAGCGTCCCAGAGCTGGAAGGGAGAGCCGGGCTGCTGGGTTGGGGGCCAGGAGCTCTGCCTGGAGGGTCTCTGGCCCCCTCCCAGTCCACAGTGCCCTTAGGGGAGGGAAGGGTGATGGGCCTTGCATCCCTCAGTGGGCTGCTTTTGATTTCACAAATGGGCTTCTGTCCTGTGGAGCCCAGTCTATCCCCTGCCTCCCCTCCCTGTCGTGCCTTGGTTTGGACCCTCCTCTCCGCTGGCCTCAACTCTTAGAACACCCTGTCACCCTTCCATCCACCCTCCACCCGAGTGGAGTGCCAGGGAGACCGTGGCACTGCCTGGACTTCATCACTCCAGGGTTCTGGGTCCCTTTGTGACTCAGACATCTCCAGAGGCTCTGCCCCAGAGACAGCATCCACACTCCCTGGCCAGGCTTCCAGGCTCTCCTGTCCAAATCCAGCCCATGTTCCCTTCTAATCTGTACCTTTGCTCTTACTGTGCCTCTCTCTCAGGGCTCTCTTTCCACCAGAAATCCCATCCATGACTCCCTGTTCAAATCCAGCTCCATCTCACCTCCTCCAGGAAGCCTTCTGACCTTATCCCCACCTCCTTTGGCAACTGTTATGTGCCTACAGAGCCACTTACTGCCATCCTTGCAACAACTTTGCCAGGCAGCCTTGCTTTGTCATTTATTTATCTATTTATTTATTTATTTACTTATTTTTGAGTCAAGGTCTTGCTCTGTCACCCAGGCTAGAGTGCAGCTGCATGATCATAGCTTACTGCAACATTGAACTTCTGGGCTCAAGCGATCCTCCCCACTTAGCCTCCCAAGCAACTGGGACTATAGATGTGCACCACCACACTTGGCTAATTTTTAAATTTTTTGTACAGATGGGGTTTTGCTGTGTTGCCCAGGCTGGCCTCAAACTCCTGGGCTCAAGCAATCCTCCCACCTCAGCCCCCCAAAGTGTTGGGATTACAGGTGTGAGTCACCTCACCTAGCTTATTTATTTTTTAGAGGCAGGGTTTCTCACTCTATTGCCCAGGCTGGAGTGCAGTGGCACAATCATAGCTCACTGTAACCTCCAACTCCAGGACTCAAGTGACCCTCCCGCCTTAGCCTCCTGAGCAGTTGGGACTACAGGCGTGAGCCACTGCACCTCACTGTCATTTACATTCTAAAGATGAGGAAACAAGGTTCAGAGAGGTTGCATAGTTGGGTCAAGACCATAGGGCTGGAAAGTGCTAGAATTTATATTCAGATCTACTTGACTTTGAAGTATTCACTTGAGATACTCCTTACTGTACTTAAATTGGTAACTGGATATCTCATCTTATGCTATAAATTGTCTAATTTTTTTTTTTTGAGATGGAGTCTCACTGTTGCCCAGGCTGGAGTGCAGTGGCACCATCTCGGCTCACCGTAAACTCCGCCTCTGGGCTCAAGCAATTCTCCTGCTTCAGCCTCCCGAGTAGCTGGGATTTTAGGTGCCCACCACCACACCTGGCTAATTTTTGTATTTTTAGTAGAGACGGGGTTTCACCATGTTGGCCAGACTAGTCTCGAACTCCTGACCTTGTGATCCGCCCGCCTCGGCCTCCCAAAGTGCTGGGATTACAGGTGTGAGCCACTGCTCCCGGCCTAAAATTTTTGTTTGAGACGGAGTCTCGCTCTGTCAGCAAGGCTAGAGTACAGTGGCGCGATCTTGGCTCACTGCAAAGCTCACTGCAACCTCTGCCACCCGGGTTCAAGCAATTCTCCTGCCTCAGCCTCCTGAGTAGCTGGGATAAGAGGTGCATGCCACCACGCCCAGCTAAGTTTTGTATTTTTAGTAGAGATAGGGTTTCGCCATGTTGGCCAGGCTGGTCTCGAACTCCTGATCTCAGGTGATCTGCCTGCCTCAGCCTCCCAAAGTGCTAGGATTACAAGCATGAGCCACCATGCCTGGCCTAAAAATTGTTTTATATTAAAAATGACATTTGCAACTGGGTGTCGGGGCTCATGTCTGTAATCCCAGCACTTTGAGAGGCTGAGGTGGGAAGATTGCTTGAATCGAGGAGTTCAAGACCAGCCTGGGCAACATAGCAAGACTTCATCTCTTAAAAAAAAAAAAAAGACATTTGCTACTGGAAGGAAGAGCACACTGTAAAAGAAAAAAAGTTCAACTGTGATCCTACCACCCAGCCACGTTCACTTATAACATTTGAACAAATATCCTTCTAGCCTTTTCCCTGTGCATATATAAAAATGATATGTGTGCAGGCTGGGCGTGGTGGCTCATGTCTGTAATCCCAGCACTTTGGGAGGCCAAGGTGGGTGGATCACGAAGTTAAGAGTTCAAGACCAGCTTGGCCAAGATAGTGAAACCCCGTCTCTACTAAAAATACAAATTTAATAAATAAATTTAATAAATAAAATAAAAATAAAAATTAGCCGGGCGTGGTGGCGGGCACCATGTGCTGTAATTCCAGCTACTCGGGAGGCTGAAGCAGAGAAGCGCTTGAACCCGGGAGGCGGGGGTTGCAGTGAGCCGAGATCACGCCACTGCACTCCAGCCTGGGCAACAGAGGAAGACTCCGTCTAAAAAAAAAAAATGTGTGTGTAGATTCACCCATGTATGTTTTCATGAGATTTTCATACAGTCTCTTTGTGAACAACTCTAATCTCTTCACCTAGAATGTAGCTGAAGCAGGGAGCAGTTGTTATCCCTGCCTCTGTCCCCAGCACCTGGCACATAGTAGGTCCCCAAAACACTGATGGTCTGACTGCAAGGCCACATAACAAAGAGCAAAATGAAGACCTGATGCTAATTCCAATTTTGCCACCAACAAGCTATGTGACTTCACTCTCTCTGGGCCTGATTTCTTCATTCAAGCAATGAAAACACTGGACTAGATGACGTCTGAGGAAGGAATCTGTGCTTCTCACCTGGAGCAGAGGGGAGGAGGAAACTGGGGCAGAGTTCCTGTTGCAGGCTTGTGATCACCGTCTGTGGCAGGAGTGAAAGGACAGACACACAGACACAGAGCAGGATGAAGAAGCAGGTCCCCTCACCACCACCATGGGGCTCAGCCTGTCCCACACTCCCCAGGAGAGCCAACCTGGTGATGATCTACCCAACTCCCCCTCCCTCTCGTGCCCACCCTGGCCCTTCTGGGCGACAGTGATGAGGTTAGGGGCAATATTCACCATATTCCAGGGTACCCCTGGCAGACAAAAGTTCCTGTTTTTTGTATAGAAGACTTCCCCAACAGTCTGTGAGAACTCGTTTTTTCCCACAGTCCATGGGTCCTCCGGGCAGGAGGACACACACACCTGGGTGCAGAGAGAACACTAAGGGGCTGGAACCTGAGACCCTGGGTGAGATCTGGGGTAGAGGCAGGTCCCAGGCTCTGACCTGGGGTGTGGGGCACTGTAGGCCGTTCTCAGCAACTGAGATGATGTTGCTGGACAGGATGCAGCTGAAGATGTTGAAGTACAGGAGATACGGCTTATCTCTGTGGGAGGGGAGGGACCATGTGCATCAGGGCCTGGTCAGGTGTTGGGGGAGGGGAGGGACCACTAGGGTGGCTTCTCAAGAATACAGTGGGCCCAGCCCAGCGTGGCCCATACCAGTCACCTCCCAGCTCCTGGCCCTAGCTCAGCTGGGGAGGTAGGGAGATGCCTAGAAGATCTCTCAGAGTAAGTCACCATTGCAGCAGCTGACAAATAGCTCAGAGCATGAACTTGGAGCTCCACAACTTCATATCATCTTTATGATCTTGAGCAAGTCACCTGTTCTCGGTCTTAGTTCTACTCCATATAAAACAGTAGTGCCTACCTCATGAGATTTCAATGCGCTTGTGTGTGTAAAGTTTACTGCCTGCCTGGAACATAGTAAATGCTATATAAATATTTGAGGTTTTATTATTTATTGGACATCTGTATGTGAGGACTGTTGGCATTGCTTCTGGAATTCCCCTTGAATTTCAAATAAGGAAATCAAAGCTCAGAGAGCTTGAGTAACTTGTCCAAGGCCACACAACCAAAACTTGGTCCAGTTGGGGATCCAAACACCAATCTCTGAACTGTAAAACTCATACACTTAACACGACTCTCCACTGCCTCCCATTTCTGGGGGGACTCAAGAAGCTAACTGTCCAGCAATGGTTCTTAACGTGGCCTGGAGTTGTCAGATTCAGGGAGGCTGAGGTGGGGTGGGGACAGCAGGGAAAGGCTGTGGAAGAGCACGGACAGGTCTGGAGCCTGAGTTGGGGGGGTGTCTCCTGCCCACCCTACCTCGCCTCGCTCCTGCACTCCTCTTCTCGCCTTTGTACTCACTTGTTCTCCCCCATGCCACAGTAGGCCCCAGTAGAGTTCCTGGGGTAGAGGACTTGCCGGGGGTCTCCATACAACCAGGCTGCAGACAGAGGCACAGATGAGTCATTGGAGGGCAGGGACTTAGTGGGGCAGTTATGGGAATGGTCCCTCCCTGGGTTCCTGTCCCTCACCCACTGCCCTGGCTCTGAGCAGCTGGAAACTCACCCACAATCCCCACCACGATGTAACCTAGAATGAAGAGCAGGAAGAGGACGCAGCAGATGACATCTGTGCAGCTTCTGAGAGAGAAACGAAATGGGAGGCTGAGCTAAGGAGACTTGGGGAGGTAGGGCTTATGGTCTGGAGGGGTTAAGGGTTAGAGAGTTGGGTGATGCTGCAGCATGGGCATCAGTAGGCTTTATTTTTATTTTTTTATTGCTTTTACTTTTTTATTTTGAGACAGGGTCTCACTCTGTCACACAGACTGGAGTGCAGTGGTGCAATCTTGGCTCACTGCAGCCTCTGCCTCCTGGGTTCAAGCAATTCTCCTGCCTTAGCCTCCCGAGTAGCTGGGATTACAGGCGCGTGCCACTACTGCCCGGCTAATTTTTTTTAAATATTTTATTTAGAAAACCTAGCCAGGCACAGTGGCTCACGACTGTAATACTAGCTACTTGGGAGGCTGAGGCAGGGCAATCCCTTGAGGCCAGGAGTTTGAGACCAGCCTGGGCAACATAGTGAGATCCCATCTCAAAGAAATTAGCCTGGTGTGATGGTGCATGCCTGTAGTCCCAGCTACTCGGAAGGCTAGGGCAGGAGGATCACTTGAGCACAGGAGTTCGAGCCTGCAGTGAACCCCCATCTCCAAAACACAAAAAGAAAGAAAACCTTTTTCTGGGTGGGTAAACTTTCTTCTGAAGTAAAAGACAGAAAAGCACACAACTCGCAAGGGCTCAGCTGGGTGAGTTCTCTCGCTTGTGAAGCCGGCACTTAAGTCAAGAAACAGAACATCCCCCCAGAACTGGGAAGCCCTCGATGCCTGCTCCAGACACAACAATCCCCCCAGGGCACCACCCATCTGGGGCAGGAGTTTCTCTTTTTCACAAGTTTCCTACTAATATTTTAGCAAATACAAAGCAAATACTGGATTCCACACTGCACCCACCACCCCCGCCAGCCCCCGGAGCAGTGCCCAGAGCTCACCTGTTCTTGATGGGGCCTCGAAAGGAGGGGTCGTATTTGACTGGCTTCCCTGAGGGACATGAGAAGAGGTGTGGAGGATGAGTCTCTCTCTGCATATCTTGTCCTGCTGAGTCCTCCTAGCCCCAGGATCCTACCCAGGCCTCAGGTGTTTGGAGGGAGATGGGCTAGGGCAGGACTGGCAGGAGGGGAAAACTGGGGAGCAGGAAAGGTAGGATCCAGGCCTGGTCAGCAGCTCAGCAGCTCCCTGGGAGCTCCACCCAGGCTGCCATGGGGAGGGGAAGGAAGGCCTTTATAGTTTCCGGCTCACATCTCAAGGCAGTCAGTCTGGGAAATGGCCTTGGTCCCCTGCCCTACCCTGGCACGGTTCTCCTGAGTCTCCCTTTAGCTGGGATGTGGGACTCCCAGTGGCTCTCACTCCCTCATTCTCATCCCTGCCTCCTCCCTAATCCCTCCCCAGGGACCACACAGACCCACAGCCCCTCAGGGAGGTCATGGCCTCTTCCCCTATCTGCCCCAGGCCCTACCTTACCCTCTGGTTCAAGGCTATGGGGAAAGAAACTGGAGACAAAGGTGTCAACCCCAGCAGGGCCTGGGGAGGGAAGCGGCCCTGTACATCCTCACTCTGGTGGGACCTCAGTCCCCTGGCCACAGTGTGCTCCGGGCTCTGGGCCAGCAGTCAGAGTGACACCTGAGCCCAGCCATAGAGATTGCAGGCACGTTGAGTTCCTGGTCCTCCCTGAGTACACACACAGGGAGGAGGAGGGCTGGGCAGTCAGGGTTCCTTGTGGGCACTGAGGAGGGAGAGCCGAGGGCTGGGCAGGAGTCTGGGAAGGAGCGGGTGGGGTCCACTTTCCCCAGGTGCGCTGGACTCTGTCCCTCCATGGCTCATGGACAATGATTGACCTGAAGCCGCTCCAGGAAGTCTACTCGGGAGTCCTCACTGCCTGCTCCCCTATGGCCCTAAGGGACTCAAGCCTCTCCTCGAGAAGGTCCCTCATAGGGGTTCCTTCCCCTTCAGACCAGAAGACCAGGGGGGCCTCCGCAGGTGAGTCCCCAGCCTTCACTGCTCGTGGGGATCTGGAGGCCAGTCCCCAGCTCCCTCTCTCCTCAGAACCCCAGCCCCTTTTCCTTGCAGATTCTGGAAACAGGCTCCCTGCTGTTTCTCCCCTCAGGCCTCACCCTTCACAGGAACCCCAGGGGCCCTGTCCCTATTCCTCAGAGTACCCCAAGACCAGCTCCTGCTCCTAGCTCCTCACAGAGACCCCTAGGCAGGACCCCAGCCCCCTTTCCACAAAGACCCTCAGCCCCAACTCCTCACAGGGACCCCCAGCAGAACCCACTCCCTCTGCCACTTCTCCCAGAGACCCTGGCAGGCAGAGGCCAGCCCACTCAGGGTCCCCTCACTCCTCAAGGGAGCCGGCAGGCCACAAGCAGCTTTCGCCCTCAGAGACCCAGACTCCAGGCTGAACCTCCTCCTCCTTACAGGGACCCTGGCCTCACTGGTTGCAGGCTCTGCAGCACAGGACACTCCCAGCATCCAGCCCTATTCTGCTCAGGGCCCCAACCTGCCACCTTCCATCTCGGCTTTGTTTCCTAGGGCCCTGCCCTTAGGGACCCAGAGTCCAGGCCTGAAATACCCCCCTCCTCCCAAGGACCTCAGCCCCAACTCTTCAGAGGCACCCAGCTTCACTCCCCATGGGCTCCCCAGCAACAGCCCCAGCCCCCGGGCCCCATCCTCCTCCCAGGACCCTGACTCCCTCCCTCCATGGCTCCCGGTTCCCGGGCCCTCCCCTCAGGGACACAGTACTCTCCTTAGTTCCTCTCCCTGGAGCCAGCCCCAGACACCATTCCCAAAGTACCCGTCCTCCCCTCCCTCCACAGGGTCCCGGGCCTCGCCCCAGTCTCACCGTAGGCCTCGTCATCCTCGTCCCGCTGCTTTCCCCCCATGGCTCAGTCTCCGGAGTGATTGGAGCCCTGGAGACCTGGCGTCTCACCTGCTGCCCGCCCCGCCCTCCCACACGTCACAGCCCCACCCCCGCCTGTGGTCCCCGACACACTCTAGTTCCTTCTTCTCAACTTTGTGCCCAGCGGGCTGGGGAGCTGGAGCCTGGGACGGGGGCTCAGGGCTATTTCCTGGGGGCACTACGGACCACAGTGAACGACCTGGCATGCTCTGATAAGAAAACGCTTTATAATCTCGCAAACTACCTTAACTGCCGTACACTCCCAACACGCTCCCGCCAAAGATTAAAGTGTGGAAATTGGACCTGTTTTTTCCTTTTTGAGATGGAGTTTCGCTCTTGTTGCCCAGGCTGGTGTGCAGTGACTCAATCTTGGCTCACTGCAACCTCCGCCTCCTGGCTTCAAGCGGTTCTCCTGCCTCAGCCTCTGGAGTAGCCAGGATTACAGGTGCCTGCCACCACGCCCAGCAAATTTTTTCTATTTTGAAAGATGGGGTTTCACCAAGTTGGCCAGGCTGGTCTTGAACTCCTGATCTCAGGTGATTCGCCTGCCTTGGCCTCCCAAAGTGCTGGGATTATAGGTGTCAGCCACCGTGCCTGTGAAACTGGATCTTCATAGTGGCCCCCCACCTCCCTGCCCCGCACTGGGCGGCCATCACACCAGCCACACCTGTCCAGCCTGCTTCCCATCCTATTCTGGCCCTTGGACCCACATTCCCTCTAGCCAAGTATGCTTTCTCCCCACCCCAACACAAAAATCGCAGTTTATTACCAAACCCAACATTTATTGAGAACAAAAGGAACCAGTTGGCATAGAGGCCCGACTTCAATTCATCAAACTTCAACTGAGGATGGGGAACACGGGGGGTGGCCAGCCCTGAAGTTGCCCTCCCAGGGAGGAACCAGCTCTGGGAGGGAGGGGCTGTCAGACCTCCAGGGCCTGGCTGGGATCTCTGGTCAGGAATGTGTGAAAGGGTGGTGGGGAGAGAAGATGGCAGCACCCCCAGGCATGGGCTGCGAGCAGCTGGTGGCAGAGGAGGCGGCTGAGCTGTGGCCATCCATGCTGGGGAGAGAGGGTGTGGTCCGTTCTCATGTGTTGACAGGGGGCAGGGAGCCGAGCTCGGGCAGCAGCTCAGGGTGTGGGTCCAGGCGGGCCAGACGGCTCTGCTCCAGGGCAATGGCTTCGGCTGAGTGCTTGCACTTCTCAGAGCCACATTGGCAGGTGAAATATTTGCTTTTGATGTCCCAGAAGCGGTCGCCATAGTCAAACCTGTCAGAGGAAAACAGGAGCTTGTGGGACCTGGACCCAGCCACCAAGAGCCCACCCCGAAGACCCTGTGGATCCTGCTCCCTGAGAGGGACCCGACACCCAACCTATCTTCTCCAGATGGGATCTGAGCCCCTTGTATGTTCTATGGACTTTCAGCATCAGCATTGCCTGGGGACTTGTTAGAAATGCAGAATCCTGGGCCCCATCCCAAGCCTACTGATTCAAAATCTCTCTGGGAGGCACAGGACTGTTTCCCCAAGTCCTCCAGGAAATACTTATGTACACTGAAATCTGAGAAGCTCTGCACTACTCCATGCCTGGACACCAGGTACATGCCAGCCTTCAGGTCCCAGGTTTGCTGCATCTCCCACCCCCTGGCAGAGCCCCTAGAGACCCCTAGAGTCTCACCCTAGCTCCTCCCCAGTCCGGATGTCTCGGGAACTGAAGAAGGCGATGCGTGGAAATCGCAGGTCTTGGTGCAGCATGAAGACCCGGACGGGAATGATGTTGGGGTCACACAGGTGGTTGATGAAGCGGCTGATGTTGCCATAGTAACGGGCATCTATGCAGTACACCTCTCCATCCTGGGGCAGGGGGATGGCACTCTTCACATCTCCCCCGACCCTGCTTGCCCTCCCCACCCACTGACTCCCCAGTCCCTCCTCCCCAGGTTTCCATTTGCTGACTTCCCAGAGGCTCCTGAAAGCCAGCCCTGGGGAGCAGCAGGGTAAGGAGGGTCTCCTGCTCACCTTGTTGTCTAAGTCGAAGAGGTAAGAATCATCCTCTCTCACATCAGCCTCAGCATCAGAGATCAGCTCCCCGACATACCTGTGGGACAGGAATCCATGGTTCTGAAGGTGAGTGTGGGCTATTAGGAGGTGGCTCCAGGCCCCATCTCTCTTCACAAGCCTGTGGAATCTGGAATGGGCAGGGCTGGCAGGTGTGGGGAAGGGAAGGCCTGGAGCAGCAGTGGTGGGCAAGTGAAAGGGCAGCATTCCAGCCTTGACAGAGGAAGCCTTCAGTCAGCACAGAGACAGACAACAAGCTCTGTGGTTAAGGGGATTAATGTGTAGGGGCAGTTGGCCTGGGTGGGGAAGTTCGGGTTTGGACACAGAGAGGTTTGTGTTCCAGGAGCCACCCGGCAGGAATGGGCGATATGGAACAGGAGAGGGGCCAGGACTGCAGGAAGAGCCAGAGGTACAGGAGTGGCAAGGAACTCAAGGCATGATTCGGGGCAAGAGCACCCACACATATCTGGACACCAGAGGGAGGAGAGGAGCCAGCTATCTAAGGAGGGTGAGCAGACATGGGAGATTCAGACACACGGAGAGGACGTGGGTGGGAAGTGACTGTCAAGAGACAGCTTCAGCAGAGTGGGAAGGGCAAAGGCCGATTTTGGCAGGGACAGGCAGTGAGTGGATGGTGGGGAAACTGAGGCCCAGCAGGAAGGGGCTGCTTGCCAGAGAAGTTGAGAGATGACATGATGGAAAGAAACTGGATGGTCTGTTGAACAGGCAAGTATGGTTAGAGGACTATCTTTTTTAAAGGCCAAAGAATGGTCAGGCACGGTGGCTCACGCCTGTAATCCCAGCACTTTGGGAGGCCGAGGTGGGCGGATCATCTGAGGTCAGGAGTTGGAGACCAGCCTGGCTAACATGGTGAAACTCCGTTTCTACTAAAAATACAAAAAATTAGCCGGGTGTGGTGGTGCGCACCTGTAATCCCAGCTACTTGGGAGGCTGAGGCAGGAGAATCGCTTGAACCTGGGAGGTGGAGACTGCAGTGAGCCAAGATTGTGCCATTGCACTCCAGCTTGGGCAACAAGAGTGAAACTCCGTCTCAAAAAATAAATTAAAAAAAAAAAAAAAAAAGAGCCAAAGGAGACTAAAGTAAGATTGAGGGTTGTGGGATGGCAGCCAAGAGAAAGGGGGAGATTACAGATGCTGGGCAGAGAAAGAACTGATGGAGAGGGACAGGCCCCTGAGGAGGTGGACAGATAGGTAGCTGTTATCACCTCCACTCTACAGACAAGAAAAATAAGGCTCAAAGAGGTTAAGTAACTTGGCCAAGAACATCCAGAAGCAGAGAGGGGCTCAAACCCAAGTCTGTTTGTCTCCCAAACTGGCACTTTCTCCAGCTAGGAAGGGCGAGGAGGGGGTGGAGGGGAAGGTAGAGGGTGGAGGTGGAGGGGAGGGAAGACAAGCTCTGTGGTCTGGGCAGAGTGGAGGCAGGTGCCATTCTCAGCTGGGGGGATGGGGGTCAGAGGCGGCTGGCTGCTCAGCTGCAGGAATAGGGGTCAGAGGAGGCTGGCTGGAGAGTGGCCAGATGGAGACATGTGACTCATCAGGGCAGATGGCTGAGAGGGAGGCCTGGCAGTCAGCAGTGGCCATGTATCCCCTTCCCACCAGGTGTTAAGGTGCTCCCGGTGACTTACTCGCAGATGAAGGTCCCCTGTGGGATGGTCTGCAGGGCGCGGACCCCCCAGCCCATCTTGGCTGTTCGGTAGAGCTGTAGCCGCACCCTGGGGGTAGGAGAGATGGCGCTGTTGGGTGGAGGCCCTGGAAAAGCCCCAGGGGCAGGGAGGAAAGGGTGAGGTGGGGAGAGGGTGGGCTGTGGAGCAGGGCCTCACTTGATGCCACTCTGTACGACCCGGTTCTTGCAGTTTCTCCAGCATGAGCACGCCTGGTTACACTCGAAAATCAGCGGAGGCTCAATCTTGTTAAATTCCTGGAGCAATCGCCCATCCTAGGGTGCGGAGGGGAGGATAGTGGTTTCTCTGTGGGGCCCACCTCAGCTGCCCACCCAGGAACCCCAAGACTCTACAGAGACAGGGAAGTTGGGGTTGGGGAGGTCACACAGGCTCTGAGATCCGAGAGCACGAAATGCAGGAGCATCATCCCTGGTTTGCATAGACCTGGGCACACGCCCATCGCTGTCCCAGCCACATCCCAGGATTCCCAGGCCTTGCCCAGTCCTCTCAGTCACTTCCCCCACAGGGTAGGAGGTGAGGGACATGGTCCCAGGGAGCTGGTTTATTGGAGGCTGGCTCCTCTGAAGGAGGGGCCGGGTGTCTGTGGCCAAGGCAAGGGGCACGCACCTTGTCATACCAGCACCGGATGCTGAGCTGGCCGCACAGGCAGTTGGAGCTAGAGCAGTCGTCCACACACGTGCAGTGCTGGGGCGAGGAGGCAGAGGTCAGCTCAACCCCATGATCGGTCTGGGCCCCTCTACTCTTGATGCCCCCTGACCCCCTAACCACTGTCCTTTCTTTGGGGTCCATGTGTTACAACAGTGGGTGGTGATGGTCCTAGGGTGACGGGTAATCAGTATGGTGGTGTCCCCAGGGCTACTGGGAGCTCATATGATACCTTGCTGTGACCTAGGAAAAGGATCCCTCCCCTGGTGGGGATGCGACCCCACACCAGGGATCCCTTTCAGCCAACCCTTCCTTGGCCAGGTGCCTTTGCTGGTTTGAAGCTTGTCCAACTGTACTTGGCAGCTCTCGGTGTCCTTTTGGGGAGGCCCCGGGCCCCCTACTCACCTGCAGGTGGGTGATGTTGCGATCGATGTTCATGGTGGACGTCTCGCAGTTCTCTGAGATGTACTTGTAATCCTCAGGGCAGGGCTCCCCATCCACACCGTTGACACAGGGAATGGGCACGTTCTCATAGCCCCGAGCCACGTCCCTGCAGAAGACGGGAAGAAGGGGCTGGGAAGCTGGAAAAGGGGGTGAGGAGCTACTCCAGGTATAAGGAAGAGAGTTGGGGAGGTTCCTGGGGCTGGGGGCAGGGGAGTAAGGTTGCCAGGTAAGATGCAGGACAGCGAGTTAACATAGAATTTTAGATAAACAAGAAATAGCTTTTTAGTATGTCCCAAAAATTACACAGGACATTCTCACACTAAAAAAGTATGCATCTGTGCATCTGAAATTCCAGTTTAACTGGGTGTCTTCTATTTTTATTTGCTGTATCTGGCAACCCTAGTGGGGAGGGGGCCTGTGGGTGGTTCTGGGGATTCAGTGGTGCATGGGGAGGGGTTGGGGAATGTTGTGAGGATGCAATGGAGCCTGGGGAGGGTATGGGTGGGGAGGAGGTGGTCTTGGGTGCAGAGAGGGGCCCAGGGCTCACCGGCAGATGATCTTCTCTGTGCGGATGGCCCGATTTCCCACCCCAAGTCGGAGCTTGCGGTTGAGTTGAAGCGCAAACCACACGTCGGAGCGCTCGGGAGTCAGGTCCCATGCTGTGTCCCCCTCTTTGTTCCGCAGCTCAGGGTTGGCCCCACGTGACAGGAATAACCTGAAGAGGGGACAGGATGCCCAATGCAGGGTCTGAGGCTGCAAGAAGTGGGGGCAGGGGCATCAAGGGCGGGGCAGGGGCTCACAGCACGCAGTCATGGTAGCTCTCCCGAGCTGCGATGTGCAGGGGGGTGTCCCCATGGTAGTTGACAGCATGGAGGTCACAGCGCGCATTCAGAAGGACTTCGGCGATGGCGGCGCTGCCCGTGAAGGAGGCCCAGTGCAGGCAGATGTTCTCCTCCTGTGGAGGTAGGAGGGGAACAGATGAGGTGCAGGCAGCTGGGCCCTTGAATCCAGCCTCCACCTTGCTCAGGGGCCTGGGGCTGCCCTACCTCAACCAAACGCTCACTCACGTTGTCAGTGAGGGTGACGTCGGCGCCCCGCGTCAGTAGCATGCGGATCACCTCGATGTGCTTGTGCTCTGCAGCCCAGATGATGGGCGTCCACCCCCCACTGTCCTGTGGGTGGGAAGGGAGTGAGGGTGGGGGCAGCTGGCCCTGCTCACCAAAGCAGCAAATGGTCAAGATTGGCTGTGTGTGTGAATCCCAGCTCCACCATTCACAAGCTGTGGGACCCTGGGTAAGTCACTTAACGTCTCTGGGTCGCAGTTTCTTCATCTAAAAAATGGGACTAGTAGGGTCGGGCGCGGTGGCTCATGCCTGTAATCCCAGCACTTTGGGAGGCCGAGGCGGGCGGATCACGAGGTCAGGAGATGGAGGCCATTGTGGCCAACACGGTGAAACCCTGTCTCTACTAAAAAATAGAAAAAATTAGCTGGGCGTGGTGGCAGGCGCCTGTAGTCCCAGCTACTAGGGAGGCTGAGGCAGAATGGCGTGAACCCGGGAGGCGGAGCTTGCAGTGAGCCAAGATCGTGCCACTGCACTCCAGCCTGGGCGACAGAGCAAGACTCCGTCTCAAAAAACAAACAAACAAAAATGGGACTAGTAGCGTCTACCATCTGATGCCAGAGAGAAAATAAAGTAATTGTTCTCTTTCCAAAAAATACAGCCAGGAGCTGGTCATGGAGGTGCATGCCTGTAGTCCCAGCTACTCATGTGACTGAGATGGGAGGGTTGCTTGAGCCCAGGATTTCGAGGCTGCAGAGAGCTATGACTGTCTGTGAACTGCTACTGTACTTCAGCCTGGGTGACATAGCAAGACCCTGTCTCTTAAAAGAAAAAACGAACAAAAATTTCCTAAGTCTGCCCACTCAAAAGTCCTAGAAGCAGCGACAACCCAATAACAATAAACACTCCTAGGAACATAGATTGTATTCTCTAAAAAATGCTTCTGGCCGGGCGCTGTGGCTCACGAGGTCAGGAGTTCAAGATCAGCCTGGCCAATATGGTGAAACCCCGTCTCTACTAAAAATACAAAAATTAGCCGGGCATGGTGGTGGGCGCCTGTAATCCCAGCTACTCGGGAGGCTGAGGCAGGAGAATGGCGTGAACCTGGGAGGCGGAGCTTGCAGTAAGCTGTGATCACGCCATTGCACTCCAGCCTGGGCAACAGAGTGAGACTCCGTCTCAAAAAAAAAAAAAAAAGTTTCCCATAAAGGAAGCAGAGTTTCTTAGAGAAATGGTGGATTCTGAGTTGGGGGCAGGAAATGTGCTGAAAGGTCAGGAGGCTCTCAAAGGCCACTGGGCCACTGGGTCATGTCACAGCCACAGAGGCCTCTTAAAGGGGCTTCTTCTGGACAATGATGGAATAATTCAAAGACTGAGAAGAATGCCAATAAATGACTAAAACACATCCAATGTATGACAACCCAAGAGTTAATAAAAAGCCTCACTGGACACTTTCAGAGATTAAGACAGGAACTGATTATTCTGAAACTTGATAAAGAGAAAGAAACGAGAAAGAAAAGAATGAAGAGAAATACAAATGAGGAAGAAGAAAGCAATGAGGACAGACACGAGCAGTGTGAGGTCAGATGTAGGAAAGGCGGCCCAAAGCCTGAGGCCAAGCCAAGGAACCCAGGCACCAGGGACCCAGAGGGGCTGGGCTGGGTGGGCCGCTGACCTGGGCGTTGACGTCCACCTGTCCTGTGCTCAGCAGCAGGCTGACCATCTCCAAGTTCCCGATTTTGGCTGCGTGGTGGAGGCAGGTGGAACCGTCCTCCTCCTGAGGGAGACACGGGCAAATGAGCCTTTGGGCTGGCACCCCAAACCTGGTCCCTGACTCCGGGGGCCACGCCCTGCTGCCTGCGCGCACACCTTGCTATAGACACAGCCACCACGCTGCACCATGTAACGGGCTACCTCCAGGTGGTTGTTCACCACGGCCTCCATCAGTGGCGTCCGCTGCTGTTTGTCCACTGCATTTATGTTGGCTCCAGCCTGTGAGGGGGCAGGAGGGCTGGCACCAGGGAGGCATGGGGCAGGGGAGGGGCCTAAGGGCCTGGTGAATGAGGCATGGGGCCGGGCCCGTGCTGACCTGCAGCAGCACATGGCAGATCTCCACGGAGCCCTTCTGGGCGGCTGCATGCAGGGGCGTGCGCTTGCTCTGCTGGTCGCTCTGGAAGTTGGGGTCCAGGTTGTCCACTGCGGGGAGAGCCCGCCACACCGGGAGAGGGAGGGACAAGTGGTAAGCAAGCTAGGGGGCAGGTGGCACTTCTTTCAGGAAGGCTTCTCAGGGCCCCAAGCTGGATCAGGGCCCCTCCTGGCATTCTCCGAGCTTGCCTCCACCACAGCATTTATCAGAATAAGGAGTCAAAGGCATCAGCTCTGCCTGAATTCAAACCCTGCCTTGCTTCTCAGTACCACTGTGCACTGTGCAAGGTCCCTAACCTCTCTGTGCAAGCCAAGGCTAACAGGTATAAGCACTCAGAACAGGACCCAGCACCTATGAGTCACCACATCCCCATCGTTATGGGTTACATGTGTCTTTTCCCCACCACACTAAGTCCTTCAGGGCAAGGACTGTGTCCTTCACGACTGTACTCCTGGCCCTGTACCCAGTGCCTGGTATATACATGAAGCTTGGTCAAGGTCTGCTGAAGGAATGGGTGGCACTCACACAGCATCAGGATCACCTTCTGCAGCTCGCCCTGCTTCACGGACAGGTACAACTGCCGAGGGTGGAAACGGAGCTTCTTCCGCCTGCCAAGGGAGCACGGGAGCGGGGAGAGAAGGGGAGCTCCTCAGATTCCAGCATCAGCCTCGACACCACTCCTCTGGCCTCAGCCCCAGTTGCTGTGCCTGAGCAACTCCCCACTCACCTCTCTGACTCCTGGATGACCAGGGCCTTTTCCAGGGCCTCCCGGCCTGGCCCCAGTGGCAGCCCCACGGCTGAAAGGCAGCCCCCATTGGGCAGGGTCAGGGAGGGCCCTGAGCTGTCAATGGTGTCAGCCAGGGGATCGCAGGGCGGGCGCCGGGGTTCCCCATGCCCTCGCATCCGGGCACTGTGGAAGAAGGAGCTCATGTCCAGGAGCAATAGGGGTGGGGGAGGGAACAGACAGTACAGAAGGGGGAGGCCAGTACCTGGGCTGAGAAGTGTCTGCTCTCCCGGGGACATCCTGGGACAGGGGTGGGGGTGCAGGAGCTGCAGTGCCGGCCGGTGGGGTCACCCCGTCACCCCGGGGGATGGTCACCTCTTGAGCTTCAGAAGCATCCTCCCCACAGTGGGGACAGAAGACCATCCCATTCAGCTGAGACACACAGGCCTTGTGGAAGCGGTGGGCCACACGGAAGTCAGGGTGGCACTCCAGGAAGGTGCCCTGGGAGCAGGGAAACAACATGGTCAGGTTACTGGGGCCCCCTCTGCCACAGGGCATGCTACCTGTCTGCCCCACTGGTCACTCACCGCCGTGCAGAAGTAGCCGCAGCCCGGGCAGCAGTGGTGTTTGACCATGCGGGCGCGGTGGGTCTCACAGAGCACCATCAGGGCCACACGGCTGGATGGCCTCATGGTCTCCCGCTTGAGGATGGCGGCATTGCAGCCTGACAGCTGTGCGCAGTGAGGATGGGTGAGAAGAGAGCGTGAGGCTGGGGCCGGGGACTGGACGCCCTGGCACCTCTCCCACCAGCCCACGGCCCCACCTCTCCGTCCACACTCTCAGTGGCCATGCACTTGTGCCCCGCCCTCTCGCTGATGCGGTCAATCTTGGGTGCCTCCATGCGGCAGCTGCACAGGGGCAACTCCTCAAACCCTCGCTCTGTCTCCAGCGAAGATGTGTCATTGGACACCCCTTGGATGGAGGAAAAGAGGAGCTGAGGGAGGCTCTGCACCTCACCTACTGGGACCCCTGGCGGGTCCTCTCACTCCCTCCCTACCCCACCCCGCCATGCCCCAGAACCCCTAAAGCCTGGCCATGGACACCCCGGCTCTGGCGTGGTTCCCCTCCTTCCCTTTCCCTCCTGCCCTGAGGTCGCCCCCTAGTGGCTCCCTGTCCCGGCAATTGGCAATTACCAGCGTGGTTGGGGGAGAGGGTCCCCTCGCTGGGCAGCTCCAGGGACCCCAGAGGGACCTCCATGTACTCACTGGGGCCTGAGGAGCCCACACCATTCACTCCTGACACAGAGACAGAGAGAGTGAGAGTGCGAGCTCACAGGTGCCTGGACGCGTGGGTACATGCAGGTGGACATGCGAGAGCGTGTGTGTGCGTGCACACACTCTGGGGGGCCGGGCGGGGGCTGGAGGGCACCCAAAAGCAGCAGAGCCTCCTCACCTCGTGGCTCCTTGGCCCGCGGAGGCTCCCGCTTGCGCCGTTTCCGAGACGGCTTCACCCATGGGCTGTCTTTTCGCCATTTCTTCTTGGCCTTGCGCCGGCCACTGGAACCACTCTGGGAAGGGGGAGGAGGAGGAGTTAGGAACCCTCACCCCCAGGGGCCCCCCCAACACCTTCAGGACCAGACCTCCAGCCCCATAGTCTCCCACTCCTCTGGAGATATCAGCCTCCGTCTCTTACCCTATCTGACTGATTCCCTGACTCCTCATCTTCCTCTTCTTCTTCCTCTTCCTCCTCCTCTTCCTCTTCTTCTTCTTCCTCCTCTTCCTCCTCCTCCTCTTCACTTAGTTGTTCAGTTAGAGCTTCAACTTCAGACTGGGAGAGAGGCAGAACAGACATATCCAACCCCCAGGACTCAGACAATGAGGTGAGTAAAGAAAACCACCACCACCATTGCCCCCCGCCACTACCCACGGATGGCTGCTGGGGATAAGTGTGGGTAGCAGAGGAGACAAAGGGCCACATAAAGAGAGGGTGCATGGAATATTACACAGCAGTGAAAAAGTTACAGACAGCAATGTGCACAGATCTTGGTAATGTGATATTAAGTTAAAAAACAAAAAGCAAGTACCAGAAGATAAACATACTTTGATACCCCTTTTATGATGTTCATAAACAGGCAAGACCACCAATGGTTGCTAAAAACACTAGACACAAAGCTCATGAGAAACTTTATATGAAAGGTTCAGGCTGACATCACCTGAACCCACTGGTCAATCTTATCACTAACAAGAAAAATGACCAGATTAGATGTTCCATGCATCCTGATGTGATGTGGCCAGAAGCACTTGCACCCACTGTCAAGTCTTCTTGGCACCTGAAGCTGATTCCGCCTCTAGATCTATCAGTTTACAAGAAATATGGGCAGAGAGGATGTGTCAATCTCCACCCAATCAGCCAACTCCTAAATGTGAAAAATTCTGTAGGACAACTGAGCTGGTTTCTTTGACAAATAAATGGCAAAAAAAAAAAATCTTTCTTATTTATTTATTGAGTTTTGCTCTTGTTGCCCAGGCTGCATTGCAATGGTGTGATCTCAGCTCACTGCAACCTCCACCTCCTGGATTCAAGCAATTCTCTTGCCTCAGCCTCCTGAGTAGCTGGGATTATAGGCACCCGCCACCACACCCAGCTAATTTTCGTATTTTTATTAGAGATGTGTTTTCACCATGTTGGCTAGGCTGGTCTCAAACTCCTGACCTCAGGTGATCCACCTGCCTCCCAAAGTGCTGGGATTACAGGCGTGAGCCACCACGCCTGGGCCAAAAAATTTTTTTTTAGAAGATGAGGAAATCAGGCCAGGTGTGGTGGCTCACGCCTGTAATCCCAGCGCTTTGGGAGGCCGAGGTGGGCAGATCACGAGATCAGGAGTTTGAGACCAGCCTGGCC
>NT_167249.2:4610920-4640508 GCF_000001405.40 Homo sapiens
GGCCACAGCCCTGTCTTCATGACAGCACAGCACAAGGCTGATGGGGAGGGATAAGGTGACCAGAGGTACAGATGCAGTAAATGTCTTGGAAGTGGGCCTCAGCCTCCCCATTTACAGAGATTAGACTGGGCTATGTAGCACCGTCCCACCCACACCCAGAAGCAATCGCACACCGGTGTCAGAAACTGGAGCCATAGGGACCCCAAACCCCTACCTGGTGTCCCTGGGGCATTGTTTGTAATTTTATGCTAGTCACCCAGGCTTTGTAAACTCTGGGCCCTGACACCCCAGCTGGACAGGGCTTGCAGGGTATCTGGATTAAGCCATACAATTCTGGTAACCACTTAGCTGGGAAGAGGAAGCATCAGATGGGTGTCGGGGGAGACTGAAATAACAACACAAGCAGTGACACAGACACCTGGGAGGAGACAATCACATTATTTAACCATCAGTCAGCATGGAAGCTGGGCACAGGGTCCTGGGAGTCCCTTCCATATGCCACACATTAACCCTTTAATTGCAGGATCAGGGAAAGTGAGGGGTGCCCAGGGGAGGGACAGGGGTGGCAATGAACATACTCAGTGGCTCAGGGCCATGGCAATTTACCAGCCAATATAGAAGAATTTTAATATTCCAGCCATCTGCGGGATGCAGCCCTGCACACACCCCACACTATTCCGTTTCTTCCCTGGGGGAGCATCCTGGCCCTCAAGTAGCAGGCAGTGCCTGCCAAACCCAGACCAAGTGGAAGAGACAGTGGGCACATGGGCCAGGCAGCCAACACCTGTGGGTTAGAGAGCCCCACCCTGGCAGAGTCAGAGCCCTGAGGCCAGGGAGACCACATATTCCAACTTTCACAGTGGGTGCGACAGGTGAGGTGGGAGGAAGGTGGGAGGGAGGTGGGGTTCAGCCCTGAAACCCCCCTACACACAGTCACTGAGGAAAGTCCTGACTCCAGGATGTGGGTGCCGGAGCCCACCCCCGAGACCCCTGTCTTCAACATCTGCTGATTTTTGTTGGCGTTTCTCTTTTTTGTTATTTTGCTTTCCACACTTTAAATAATTAATACAATTACTTTTAAATACAAAATACGCCATGTCCTTTCTCTTCTCTTCCATTTGTTTGGGGTGATTGGGAGGTGAGTTTTAAATAAGGGTCTCAGCTCTCTAACGGGTAACAGGCTCCAGGTGGGAGGGCCAAGAGCCCCAGATGCCACTCCTCCCGTGGGGTGTCCAGGCAACCACTTCACCCCTCCCCTGGCCTGCCCCGACTGAGGGCTCTCCACGCCCTGGCCCAGGGCTCCCTAGATAGTGAGGAGCCCTCTTGGGAGGTGGCACAGAGCTGATGTTGTGGGATTCCAGGTGGGCCTGGTTCCGAATGGACAGGATCAGACAGAGACGGTCCTATCCCATGAAGCAGACAGGCCCCAGCAGCACCCCTCCCCGCCTCGGTGGGGCTCCCAGGTCTGAGAAGGAGGCATCCAGCACTGGCAGCTGCTCCAGCACAGGCGTTCGCACCTCCAGCACCGTCCGGCCTTGCTGTGTCTTCAGGGGGAGACAAGGAAGAAAGTGTGAGCAGGATGGAGGCACCCCCCACCCTCTAACCTCAGGCCCAGGCTCACCTCTCCTCTGAGCACCTTGGCCCCATCAGGGTGACTCAGGATGTACAGACTGGCAGTGTCTGTGTGCCCATGCGTGTGTGTTTGCTTCTCCCCCACCGTGTGCCTCTGCTGGGCAGCCATGTGCCAGTCTGTGTACACGTCTGCATTAACCTGTGTGACGCTGGTGTTTGTACCCAAGTGAACCTCACCCGATGGCTTCCATCCTTTCCACCTTCCTCACCGGCTTTTGAGCTCCCTCAGGCATCCCTGACAATCCAGCAGGACGGACTCCTCCCTGCTCCCCCTGGGTGCCCTGCCCAAGGGGTCTTCCCACCTCCTTCCTCCAGCCTGAGTCTGAGATCAGCCCCCAACCCAGCTCTTCCTGTTCCCACCTGGCAGCCATCTCTGAATTCTTTGACATAGGGGCTAGTCTCCGGGCTCAGCTCATCCTCATTGGCCCCACGGAGTCTCAGGGGACCGTCACGGGCTGCTCCAGAGCAGGGGTAGGAGACGTCCTGGTGGGCTGAGACGCTGAGCAGCCGCAGGAAGGTGAGCTGGACCACACCCACTGGGGAGCCCTCTGAGTCCACGTAAGAGAACTGGAAGGAGAGAGAGGGCTGGCCTCAGAGGGGGAGAGAGAGGGCTGGCCTCAGAGGGAGACAGAGACGGGCCTCAGGAGCATCTACAGCACCAGGACAGCTGAGCCAGAGTCATGAGCAGGGAATGGCTGGAAGGCAAGGGCTGGGAAAGAAGTGAGGGGCTGAGTGGGAGCCAGGAGACTGGGGGTACACGAAAGGCAAAGTGAGCATCAGAGGACCGGTGAAAAGGAAAAGAAGAAAGAGCTAAGAAGTGGAGAAGGGGTGGCAGGCTCCGGGGGGGGCAACAGCCAGGGGACTGTCACCAAAACCCAGAAACCACTAAGCCCTGAGGGGGTGCACTATGGGGCAGGGGAGGGGCAGCGAGGGGCCAGCTCTCACCTGCGTGACGTCATCCCTAGGCGTCACACAGGTCTCACCCCCTGCTGTGAAGTTGCAGAAAACTCGGAAGGCATCCCGAGCACAGCCCTGGTTGGGGTCGACCCAGTACTCTCCTGTTGGGTGAGGGAGAGGGGAGGTCAGGGCCACCTAGGTCCAGGCTCCAAGATGCTCTTTGCCCCCACATTCCCTCTTCCCTCCCAGCCCTCCCCATCATGCTCTTAGTCTCCTGGTCCTCCTCCCTCCCAGAGCCCTAGAATCTAGCCCTACTGCTGGATTCTACTGCAGCATCCTACTGCTGCAGCTCACTTTCATCACGTGACACCTCTGCCCCCAACAGTAACCCCAGGCCCTCTGACTGGAGGAGGTCCGAGTATGGACAGCCTCATACTGGGACAACATGTGGTTGCAGGCGCTCACACAGATTCATCTGTTCAGGTGCAAACAGGTGTGTGCACGTATGTATGTTTATCTGCTCCTGCAGACACTGGGCTGATAACCAACTGGTACACACTGACCCAGATCAGTTGCTAAAGTATTGGGATACTTCTGACCTGGTTAGTAAATAGCTGCAGTTCCCAGCCCCTCAGCCCTCACCCTTAACCCAACACCTTCACCAAGACTCCCCCAGCATCCATTCTGCTTGTTCAGTACCCATGCTGTTGGGGAGATGTTTGTGCACCCTGAGGCTAGCACTGACCATCGGGAAGCTCTGGGTGGCACAGCTTCAGGTCCTGGCAGGTGCGAGCAGGGCTGTCCTGGGTCCCTGTTGGCCGCCTCATCTGCTCGATCTCCTCCCGCAGGGAGTCGAGTGAGCCAAAGATCTCCTCCAGCCCCCCAGGACTGCCGGGGGCTCCCCCGGTCGGTATGGCCTCATCTTCCTGCATCAGACGGCTTCCATCCACCGAGCGCCGAGTCTTCTTGGGCATCTGAATGGGCAGTGGCTGGATCACCTCGCCTGGGGGACCCTGGGTGCAGGGACAGATGGAGAGGGCAAGAGACAAGGTTGGTGTGAGGGTGAAGTGTGGCAGCAGTGGAGCAGAGGGGTACGGCCCTGGGAGCAGCCCTGACTCCTCACTCACCGGGTGTCCTGGAGGGCCCTGCACACCCTTCTCTCCCTTGGGTCCGCCTGGGCCCTGACAAGGAATAAATCAGGTCATGGAGGGGTCAAGAGGTCAAGCATGGATCAAGGTCACAGAAAGATCAAATCAGCCTCCTGGCTGGAATAAGGGGCTCCTTGGGGGGAGTCTATTTGTCCTGGAGAGACATCATCAAGTCCAGAGGGGGTGGAGCAAAGGTCAGAGCTGAAGGGGGTCACTCACTGTGGCTCCTTTGGCTCCTTTGGGGCCAGCAGGTCCCTGTGAAATGAGGAACAAGAAAGAGACGGTCACTGCAGGGGAAGGACAGGACTCAGAGGAGCGGGGAGGCAAGGTCCCAAGTCCACAGGAGCCTCGGGTTACTACAGGAGGGGCAGTCCTGTGGGAATACTAGGACATTCAGAGCCCTGGAAGTATGGGGAGGAGGTACTGGTGGTGACAGGACAAATGGGGGACCCTGAGGACTATGCTTGTTAGGCTGGTAGTTCCATGGAAGTCGTTGGGAGGCTGTGGGTGGGCAGCAGAGGGGTTTAGGGGATTTTGTGGAGGAACAGAGGCAGTACTCACGGGGAGGCCGGGGGGACCTCCAGGACCAATGGGGCCGGATGCTCCTGGGATACCCTAGGAAGGGTAGTGGCTGGTTCAACTGGGTCCTCCTCCCACACCCTCATGAGCACCTGCTCGCTTACCCACAGCTGAGTCCCAACTCCAACTCCACCCCTCTCCACCCCACTCTCAACCCCCACAACTTCCGGGACCATGCCCTCTACTCACCATCTCACCCTTCTGCCCAGGGGAGCCCTGAGGCCCAGGAAGTCCCCGATCTCCCTTCTCTCCCTGCTCACCCGGGGGCCCAATCAGTCCAATGAGACCTGGGTGGCCCTAGAGAAGGGTGCAGGCAGTCAAGAGAATGCAAAGAGGAGTCATGTGGATGGGGGAGAAGGGCCAAGAGGACATGGAGAGGGAGCCGGGCACAGGGTCCGTGAGTGGCCCTCACTGAGCAGGGACTCCCTGGGACTGGCTGCCGGAGGCCTGAAGCAGAGCAGTGGGCACTTGGGTCCCACAGGTTTCAGGGGCGAGGGTGATGGGAGAGACACCTGGCCACGTGTCTGTCTGTCACTCACCTTCTCTCCCTTGGCTCCAGCATCGCCCCGGAGACCAGGCAGCCCTGGGGGTCCCTGTGGAGAGATGGGAAGTCATTCTCTTAAGGGAGAGGTGGGACCAAGTTCTCCCCAACAGCCTCCACTTCCTCCAGGGCTTCAGCTCTGTCCCAGGGCACTGCCCTCACCCCTCACTCAGCCCAATCCCAGTCACTCACCACAGGACCTGGGGGCCCAGCCTGGCCTGTAGCTCCAGGTCGGCCTTGCTGACCCTGAAGATTTGAGGGGGCCACAGGGGTCAGGAGGAGCATCCCCACACTGCACCCCTCCCATGGCCCCTCACTCCCACCCCAGCCCAGCCCTTCCCTGCAGTGACTCACCACTGAGCCTGGGAGCCCCCTCAGACCATCAGGGCCAGGTTTCCCTGCTGGGCCTGCAGGACCCACCGGGCCTGTCTTCCCCGGGGCACCTATAGCGCCAGGATCTCCCTGAAACACACACAAGGAATGTGTCCTGAATGGCAGAGGAGTGGGGTGTGGGCAGGGGGCAGAGGGTCCAAGGTGGGAGGTGGGAGGCAGGGAGGAAGGGCCAAACTCTAGGAGCCCCTAGCGCAGGAACAAGTACAGGGAACGCCTGTCCCCATAAGGGCCCAACATGGGAGAGGTGGAGATGGGGTGGGCATCTGGAGACGGAGGCATCTGAGGGGTGGGAGGCGGAGGGGATGCTCCAGCACTAGGGCAGCCTGTCCCTCACCTTGGCTCCCTTCCCTCCTTGTCGCCCCTCGGAACCAGGCGAGCCAGCAGGACCCTGCAGGTGGAGTGGGAAGGAAGAGCACATGAGGCCGTGGGCAGCCAGGCTCAACTCTTCCCCCTTCCTGTCCTAGACACACACATACACATGCACACACACACGTGCATACACAGGGACACGCGCCGAGGGCCGATTCACAGATGTGCAGAACAGATACAGCTGTGACAGTTGTGAAAATACTGGGTAGTCTGTACATTTGGTGAAGGGCCACTTGCCCACACCCTACCTGGTGGCCCGTCTCCTGCCCCAGAAACTAAAAAGGTTCACCCCTGGCCCACAGAAAAGCTGGCCAGCCCCTCCTCCAGTTTCCATTCTGCTTTGTCAGTAACCACCACTACCCCTGGTGAAAACATACACACCAGAACCCAGGAACAAACATGCCCGAGATACCGCACACCCATCAACCCACCAGCTCCTGCACACACACTCGCCCAGTGCAATGAGATACCGCATACCCTTAAACCCACCAGCTCCTGCACACACACCCTGCCCCGGGCAATGAGATACCACACACCCTTAAACCCACCAGCTCCTGCACACACACACACCCAGGGCAATGCAGACACCAGGCACCTCCCCACCCATCCCACCTGCCATTGCCCAGCCTCCACCCACACAGCCCAGGGACTGCCTCCCAAGGTCTCAGGGGTCCACCTCACTTACTCGCTTTCCAAGTGGCCCTGGGGGTCCATTCTCCCCGGTGGGACCAGGGGATCCCTAGGGAGAGAGGAATTGGGGTGGCTGAGTGTTTATCCTCCAGCCAAGGGACCCCTCAGGAGTGGGGCACAGAAGAGGGGTAAAGAGGATGAGGCTTGGGCTCAGGGGGGTGGTGGGGTCACCAGGCACTCACAGGCTGTCCTGGCTCACCATCCTCGCCTCGGTCACCCTTAGCACCATCCTGGCCCTGCAGAAGTGAAGCAAGGTCAGAGGTGGGCCCCCAACTTGGCTGGCATCACCTCCAAAACTGTCAATACCCCATCCCCTTGCCCACCCTGCCATACCCCCAGCTTCCCAATACCCAAGCCCAGCGGCCACACAGAGGACCCCCCCATAGAAGCCCCACCCTTTTTGCCCCTTCCCTTCTCTGAGTAAGACTCACCCGAGGGCCACCTTCTCCAGGGGGGCCAGGGTCACCAGGAAAACCAACAGGACCCTGATCCAGATGGAGAATAAGAGTCAGGGTCACAGCTCCCTAAGCCCACCCAGCACAGACGCCCACAGGCACACGCCACTGCCTCTCTAGAGGCAGTGCCCACCAGTACCCCCCAGGAAGAGGTCTCCTGCACCCCTTTCCCTACCACGTGCACTGCGTGTTGTCTAATTCCTCAAGGTATTAACTGCAGGGCATCTCTCACTTTCTCTCCGGATCCTAGACCCCAGGCATCCCTCTGGATGCCCCATTCCCAGAGCATCCCCCAAACTCCCGGGCTCCCCACACTCCAAGATCCTCCCTCACACACACCCATATTCCCAGGTCTGTCATTCACAGGGCCTGAGAGGACTCAGCCCCCACTGCCCCAAACTCACAGGGTTCCCTTTGGGGCCATCATCGCCTGTGGGGCCTTTAGGCCCTGGTGGCCCTGGCTCTCCTGGCTGCCCCGACTCTCCTTTCTCTCCACGTTCCCCGCGTGGACCCTGCAGAACAAGCGGAGGACACAGATGGCCCAGGGAATCTTGAAGATCAGGGATGCAGCCTCTGCTTCCGAGACACCTTCAGCCATCCCCTACTCCCCTCAGTGACAATGGGACATACACAGAAAGTCAAGCCTATAAGGGGAGTTCCCTAGTCCCCTTCCCTTCAAGAAAGGGGAAGAAGGGCTCACTCAGACCAGGGATCAGGCCTCATAGAGGATGGCAGGGAGCAGAGACTCTTGCTGCAGAGGAGTTCCAGCTCAAGGAGGTCACAGGAAAAGTGGAGGCAGGGTTGAGGCGGGTGACGGGGACTGGGGAGTAAGGCCTTGGAGCTGTCACTCACCTTGACACCTGGCTCGCCCTGGATCCCTGGAGATCCTGACTCTCCTGGTTCCCCCTGCAAAGAGATTAGAGTCAAAAACCTTCTCTCCTTCCCCAGCCAAAAAATTCTGATATTCCCCATATCTCATTCTCTTTTGTCTCCCCACCCAAAATTGGCAGAAATCCAACTCCCATCCCCCACTTCCATGACTGGTCCACTCACCCCCTTCCCAGTTACCTTCTCTCCAGGGGGACCCAGGTTCCCAACACCTCCTGGGGGACCTTGTGGGCCCTGGAAGAGGAACAGAAATAGGTGTCATTGCTTAGGATGGAGGTGCCATTTCAGGGGCAAAGTCCCAGATGAGCAGCCCAAGGTTACAGCAGTGAGGCAGTGGAGGCCTCCCGGGAGTAAGGGCTTCTCTTGGCCCCTGAGACGATACTAGAGTTTATGGTCTGGGAAAGGGAGGCAGAAGACCAGACACATTGGTCTCAAGGGACAGGGGCTGAGATGACTCACATCAGCGCCATTGGGTCCAGCTGGACCTCGAGGTCCTGGGGGGCCAGGTGGTCCCTGGGGGAAACAGATACACCACAGATGAGGAAGGGAAGTGAGATGGCTGAGCATGAATGGTGGAGAGAGGAGGAGGAGCAGCCAGGCCAGGGAGTTGGCAGTGGGGTGTGGGGTGGGGGCTGGCCAGGGAGGGGGGTGACTAGTATGGTGGCTAGGGTCAGTAGGGGTCACACTCACCATAGGACCCACATCTCCTGTTTCTCCCTTCTCCCCAGAGGGGCCTGGCAAACCCTGTGCAAGTATACAAAACATGGGCCCAGGTGACGACCCCACCCAAAGCACAGCCCTAGGCAGATAGGCCCCACAGTCCCCTCCCCTCAGACTCCGCAGGCCCTCCAGTCCGCATCGGCAGGCTGCTGGCAGAGTCTGGGGCAAAACATCACCCCATCCTGACCCCACCTCTCAGCCCCTGTCCTATCCCCCAACACACCTGTAGGCCAATGGGTCCTGGGGGCCCATTGAATCCTCTTGTTCCTTCATCACCTTTGGCTCCAAAGTGTCCCTGGGGTCCCCGAGCTCCAGGCTCCCCATCTGCTCCCTGCAGGGTTGAGGGAAAGCAGAGACAAGGACACAGGGATGGGTCATGGGTCGGTGTTCTCTATCCACAAATACCACACACAGCTGGGTGCCAGGCCCAGAGCCCCTGCTCCCACTCCCAGCCACAAGGGCAGAGGGGAGCTGAGGGAGGACCAGAGGCTGCTGGGCCTTCGGTGGGGGTGGAGGGGTCACTCACCGCTGCTCCAGGCTGCCCCACAGGACCAATGGGTCCAGGGGGTCCAGGAGGGCCCTGGGTAAGAAAAGAGAGTCAGAGACACCAAAACAGGGAGAGAGATCAGGTGGGACTGAGGTTAAAGGCCAGGAGGTCAGAAGTCAAGGTCATGGACACTTACATGTTCACCCTTGTTCCCTTTGGTGCCCTTCTGTCCGGGGTCCCCCACCTCACCCTGGGAGGAGAAGGCAGACAAGATATTAGAGAAAGGTGATGGGTAGAGTGGGAAGGATGACATGACAGGGGCCAGGGGTCATGCCCAGGTCAGCCATCTCATCTGGAAAGAAGATTGGTCGGGGTCTGTGGGGTCCCCTCACCTTGTCTCCATCCTCTCCAGCCACACCTGGAGGCCCAGCAGGACCAGGAAGCCCCACAGGACCCTGCACTCCATCTCGGCCAGTTGGGCCAATGGGGCCCTTCTCACCCTGTGGGACAGGAGGAAGGAGTCATGGCCTGGAGGTGACCCTCACCCTCAAACACCCCACAGGAAACTTGTCATAGCCCATCAACCCTAGGCTCACAGACCCCTCCCCAGTACCCCTCCCCAAGACCCCCACACTCACTGGGACACCTTTCTCTCCTGCTGCTCCAGGGGGACCCTGCGGGCCTGGGCGCCCTGGCGGACCAATGGGTCCCCCTGATCCTGCTGCACCTCGTTCCCCAGGGGAGCCCTGAGAAAGCAGATGGTCAGACCCCCAGGAAGGAGACACCAGCCCGCCCATACCAGAGAACCTCGGACCACAATTCCCAAAAGCTCCCAAAATCAGATGCATTCTGGCTGTCCCTGGACAGCCTCTGCCCAGCCCCACAGCCCCTGGTGGTATCAGAATGCCACTCCCACCCTTCCTCACCCACCCCTTTCCCGGGTCCTTCCTACCACTTCCGGAACCCCAGACTCACTGCAGGGCCAGGGGGGCCAGACGGACCTTCATTCCCCTTCAAACCAGGTCCACCCTATGAACCAGACATTTGGGGAAGATGAGACTTCACGAAAAGAGAAGGGTGAGAGCTGGAGAGGGAAGACAGGCTCCAAAAGATGGAAGTGGGGAGTGACATGGAGGGGGTCAGGGACAGGGTCGGGGGGGGGACTCAGGATGCTTGGTGCTTGTGACAGGCAGGGGTCTGGGAGTCACACTCACAGCAGTGCCTGGGAGGCCTCTCTCTCCTGGGAATCCCCTCAGACCAGCAGGACCATCCTTCCCTGGGGCCCCAGGGGGACCAGGGTCACCCTAAAAGGAAAGGAGAGGTGATGAGCCACAGCCATGCTCCCAAATTAAACAGAGAGCTCTCCAGCCCCCCCTCAAATCTCCAACTACCTGTTCCTTTCAGCACCCCAATCCCCAGCTCCCCCACTTCCCCTCTGCCTGGCCCCTCACTGACCTTTGTTCCTTCTTTTCCAGCTGTCCCAGGTAGTCCCTGCTCTCCAGGGGGCCCCGGGGGGCCTGGGTGACCTCTCTCCCCCATAGGGCCGGTTTCTCCTGCTGCTCCCTAGACAAAAGCAGAGAGAGTTCCTGCTCTCAGGCCCTTCATCTCGCTGTCTGCCAGAAGAGCCCACCCTGGCCACCCTAAAACACTCCTTCAGAACCCCTTTATCCCTGCCCCAAAGCTCCTGGGAAATTCCCCGGCATTCCTGGGCCACTGCTGGGTTTTCTCCTGCCCCATGTGGAGTAACTACACCACCTTGTGTCTCTGTTGGGGAACTGCCTCTCCTGGGGGACAAGACGATGAGAATGCGCCCCAAAACAGACTGAAGTTCAGGACCCCTGCCTGAAATCCCAGCCCCCACCATTGACCCCAGCCCCAGGAGTCTGGGTCAGGTGGACCGGGGCAGGGGCGTGTGACCGAGAGAAGAGGGGCAGACAGACTAATGCTAGGGTCAGGGGTCCATTCTCTCCTAGGGACAAACCTACCTGAGGTCCCACCACTCCTGGAGGACCAGGGGGGCCGGTCTTCCCTTGGAAACCCTAGGCGAGGAAGAGAGGAGAATGCAGTGAAAGCAGGTGTGGGCGCTGTGGGGCAGATTCCCAGGAGGAAGGATCCCAGGCAGGATCACACCGAGCCCTGGGCCCTGGGTCTGAGCAGCACCAGGGCAGGCTCCACTCTGCCAGGAGAACGTCCCTGTGGGCTTTCCAGACAGCTCTGGGGTTAAAGGGTCTGATGGAGCCCCCTGAGAATGGGTAGCCAGGAGCATCACTCACCACTTCTCCTCTTTGGCCTGGGTGTCCCGGCAGCCCGTCCTTCCCAGGGGGGCCCTGGAAGGGGTTCAGTTGTCAGGTGAACTCTCAGCTGGAAAGCAGGTAGGGAAGAAGGACTCAGAGAAGCGAGGGGGGTCAGAGCTCGGGGTCAACTTACCGGGGGTCCTTTCGGTCCAGGAAACCCGTTGGGACCCTGAGGTCCAGGGAGGCCCTAGAGACAGAGGTGGGGGGAGTCAGGAGAATGGGGGCAGGGGCTGAGTGGGGGAATTCAGCTTCCTTCCTGGGGTGAGGAGGGAGCTGGCTCACCCAGGCTCCCTGGGGACCTCAGGGGAAGGGGACTTTCGATCCACACTTACCCTCTCTCCAGGGGGCCCATGGGGGCCATCACCACCAGATGTTCCCTGTGGGGGGAAACAGAGTCAAGGAGTGGGAAGAGCTGCTTTCCAGCTGTCCCCGAGGTCAGGATGTTGAGGGAGAGCTGGGGCTGAGTGGGCAGGGGGCAGTTGGAGCCTTGTAGAGACCATTCACCTTAGCTCCAGACTTCCCAGTGGCACCTCGGGGTCCCCGCTGACCCCGTGGACCCTACAGAGGGAAGAGGAGTTGTCAGAGAAACCCAAATGCCCCCCTCTGGACCTTGAGCCACCTGTTTCTCTCCCCTGCACTCACCGTGGGGCCCCGTTCTCCCCGAGGCCCTGACTTCCCCGACAGGCCCTGGTGGGAATGAAGCAGAGAGAACATTACCCAGGGTGAGACTCCCCACAGACCCCCTCTACACCTCTCCAGCCCTTCCCTTCTCACCCCCTCCCACCCCCCAGCTTACCCGGGCTCCCTTCTCTCCACTGGCACCAGGAAAGCCAGGAAATCCTAGGGACCCCTGGTGAGAACGGAGAAGGGGGGAAATTGAGAAGTTATGAAAGGTAGGGTTCAGGAAGGGGCAAAGGGGGTCAGGAGAGGCCACAAAGGCAGTGGCCAGGGAGACCCGAGCTCTGCCAAGAACTAAGTGGCCTTGGACAAACCCCTGCTGCTCTCTGGGCCTCTTTCGGTCATCTGTAAAATGGGGGTCAGCTAAATTCCCTCTGGGGTCCCCCACTGCCCTGCATCTGTGCTTTCTGGAATCAGGGATCAGGGAAGGGAAGAGGAGGAGGGAAGAGGAGGAGGGGCACGTATGGGGCATGGCATCACCTTGGGTCCCTGACGTCCAGGATAGCCAGGCAGACCAGGAACACCCAGCTTGCCCTGTGGAGGGACAGGAAGCAGTTAGGAGTGAGAGGAGGCCCAGATGCCACTCCACCCCTGGAGACCTCAACCCTCACATATAACAGCCAGCCCCCACCCAGCAACACACCCCACACACCCCAGCCTCTAGCCCCTCATTGCTTGCCCCACAGCTGCCTGACTTTTGTTGTCTCTCCTTCCCATGAGTGGATTTTCCCCAATTCTAGTGCTGGGATCCCACCTCCCCTGCGCCTACAGAGGTATCAGGTCCTTCAGGGTCACTGTGATCTAGCTGCTTCCCACATGTCAACCTCAGCTCCATCTACCCCATGAGGGAGGTGGGATCTACCCCAGCACCCACTCCTGCTTCACCAAGACCAATCCCCCTGCAGGCCCTTTGCCCACCACACCCCGACTCCCGTGCATGCCCCCTTCCCCAGAGGCTCCAGGGCTCACCCTGCCCAGGCAGCTGCAGAGCAGGGCTTAGAAGCAGAGATTCTGAAGCCAGACTGCCTGGGCATAACCCCTGGCTCTGCCCTTCACTGGCCATGTAATCAACAAGCATCCCTGTGCCTCTGTAAAACCTCAGCAAAACAGTACGTCACATGCCTACCTCATAGGATAGATAGGACGCATCAGCACAGCACCTGGCATAGGGCAAGTGCTGGGGAGAGTCAGCTCTGGAGACCACAGACCTCACTGCTATTAGACTCTCTCATCTCAGAACTCCTGCTGCTTGGAGTCCGAACGCATGTTCACTCTGCCTTGAAGCAACAGCTACTCTCTAAGCTTCGTCTCCGTCCAACTCTTCGTGTCAGGGACTTTTCCCTGACTTCTTATATATCCCCTCTGCCCATCAGCAGCTGAGAGATGCCATTTACACAGACAGAAGTATGACTAATGCATGGCCATCTTCAACTGACTGGCTGACTTCAGCGGCGGGCACCCATGCCCATCCTGACCCCAGTGCCCACACCCCCAGAGGACCCAGGCACAGAACCCTCATCCCATCACCTTCTCGCCCATGAGCCCTGGGGGCCCAGGGTCTCCAGTCGGTCCAGTGCGTCCCTTTGGCCCCTCAGGACCATCCTCTCCCCTGGAACCAGGGACTCCAACTTCGCCCTGTGTGAGAGGGAAGGACAGGTGAGTGCTGGGGACTGGAGGTGGGCTCTGGGCCCAGAGGAGAAATGGGCAACAGTGAGGCTGAGGAGGGCTAGAGGGGTCCCAGGAGCCACTGCAGGACAGGAAGCCCACAGGGTAGGGATAGTGTAGTGATGGGAGGGCAGGCATGACACAGACCATGGGGCTATCATCCTGTAGGGGTCAGGCTCCCAAGGGAACACAGCACTGGAACTGTGGAGTCTGGAGACTCAGGAGAATAAACCGGTGCTTGGCGTCTCCAGAGTGGAGGCTCAGTAGAACACGGAATTGGGGCCAGTGTGGGGTCTCTACTCACCCTGTCACCTTTCACGCCTATGTCACCTTTGAACCCAGGAAAGCCATCCTCACCCTGAGAAAGATAGAGGTGAGAGGGCACCACAGATGACAGAGGGCTGGGGTTCTAATGGGAATTCTGAGAACATAGGTGGAAGCAGGGGCTCGGGAGCTGGACGGCAGTGCGGGGCAGGCTGGAGGGAAGGCAGTGAAGAGAGGAGATGGCAGGACTGAGGTGCTGGGAAGCTGGGGGCATGGTGCTCACCTTCTCACCCTTATGACCCTTCAGACCCCGAATTCCGTCCACACCCTAGAATTAGAGAGGGGATAGAAGTAGACTGATCAGGGGATGGAGGTGGGTTGGAAGGACCAAGCTCCTAAGACCCCATATAGCTCCCCTGACCACAGCCCTTTGTCTCCCAGCCTGGTGGTCAGTTACCTTGACCCCTCGAGGTCCTGGGTATCCTAGAGGTCCCTGAGGTCCAGAGGGACCCTGGAAGATAAAAGAGAGGCATTTATAAAGGGGCCTCAGAGTGTCACTGTGGGGGCCTCCAGGGGTGGAAGAAATGGAAGTAACAACATTGCTGTCTGGGTAGGGTTACAGGGCACAGGAATTGAGAATGTGGCAGAGCCATATGAATAATGAGACAAGGGAATCCCAAGGACTTTGAGGCTCTAGAGTCTGAGTGGAGACTCCCTCAGGGGATAAAGACATGGAAGATCTCACCTGGTTTCCTTTGGTTCCAGGGGGACCTTCCTTCCCTGGGTGACCCTGGGAGTAAGGGATAGAAAATGTGACCAGTGGCCCCTGTCACCCTCTCTGCACCCCTCCCTACACTTCTTCCAACCCAAATTTCCTGTGACCTAGTGAAGCCAACTGTCCATGGACAAGCACCACCAGTGACCTTTCAGTGCAAGGGTCACTAAAGGAGCTCTGAGGTCATGCACTGGGGTGGAAGGCCAAGGGGAACTGGATTCGGAAGTGGGGTCCCACTCACCGGGGGTCCGTCTGAGCCAGGCATGCCGGGGAGCCCTGGCTTCCCTTGAGGACCCTGCAGGAAGACAAAGAGGCTCAGGGTCACTAGAGGGGTCATGTCTGGACACAGACAAAATCCCAGCAGACATTTAGGGTTCTCCCTACATCCCCACTCTAAACCCCCTGTCCTCCAAATCACTTAGTCACTTACCTTCTCTCCATGAGGGCCGATGGCACCCTGGGGCCCGGGAAGACCCTACATACAGGGAAAGAGAAGTCACAGGGGCCTCCCAGGGTCTCTTCTATCCAGCCTCCCGGATTCAAAGCATGAGCAACAAGGGCCTGAAACCCTTAATTTCCTGTATCCTTCCAGGGTCTCACCCATTGTGGAAGCCCAAGGGAAGTCATGAAAATTGGGGAACGGAGTAGGGGCACCGCTCACCTGGGTCCCAGGGGTGCCCTGTTGTCCAGGAGGTCCTGGCTCTCCCTGGGGTCCCTAGAAACAGGTGACCAGGCACAGGTCAGAAGGAGATGGAGATAGAACACATTTAGAGCATGGAGCTGAGTCCCAGCAGCGATAGCCAAGAAGGCAAGAGCAGGAAGCAGGCAGGGGTCAAAATGGAGGCCAACAGGATGCTGGCAGGGACCTCGGGGGATAAGAATGGGGGTGGGATCTCCTATCCATCACTCACCAAGCTCCCTTTGGGGCCCTGGGGACCATCCATGCCTCGGACGCCCTGAAACACAAGATGGGTGTGAGCAGCCTGAAGGTGGCCCGGAGGGACCTGTGGTTTTCAGAGGCCCGGCCATTCCCGAGGGTGTGACGGTCAGACCTCCAATCCATCCCAAACCCAAGCAAACACAGCTGGCCCAGGCCTGCAGTGTGTGGGACTGTGGATCTGTGGGCTTGTGGGCTTTGGTTTTGTTTTTCTTGAAGATTTATTTCCTATGCCCAGAGCCCTCGGGGCACCACGCCACATGGCCCTCCCTGTGCACGGGGAGCGAATGCTGAGGCAGGGCAGTGTGGGGCCAGAGCAGGGGGAGCTCACAGGGAATGGGAAGCATGCCGAGAGAGGAGAGGGAGCAGGAAGGCAGCTAGAAAGGTGGAGAGTTGGAGAGGTCAAGGGGTCACCTCAGGGTCAGAAGTCAGGGAGTCACTTACAGGGGGTCCAGGAATACCAGGTGGGCCTTTGGGGCCAAGGAGACCTCGAGGTCCCTGCATTCACGGTGAGGGGAGGAGACGGCATGAATGGATAAAACTGTGTCCCTTTAGTGCTCATGTCCCCCTCCTGGCTTCCCCAGAGCCCCCTCCCCCAGCACCAGCCCTTGGACACTCACCGACTCTCCAGGCAGCCCTCGAGGCCCAATCTCCCCGTCATCTCCCTGGAGGAGGAGGACACGGTAAAGCTGCTGTGCCTTCTAGACCTCCCCTGCACCCAGCCCCTACATTTGCCACTACACTTACCCTCTCTCCATCCTCACCAGGGGGACCAGGAAGGCCCTGGGCACCAGTATCACCCTGCAAAATGGGGGAACTCATAAGAGGGGCTTCAGAGCCCCCAACACAGGCAGACACCGAACCTCTGCACTTAGCCCATCCATTACTTTCACTGAGCTCCTGCCAAGCCTCCAGCCTCCCTTCCCTACCTATCCTCACTCCCATAGAAGATCTATCCCCAATTACAACACACACCCACTAATGTACTCACCCTATGGCCCTTCTCTCCAGGGAGCCCTGGGAGTCCATCAAAACCTCGGTCACCCTAGGAGGAGGAAGGATAGCCAGAGTGAGGACACGACCCTGTCCAAGCCCACCCCTCCCTACTGCACCCTGAGCTGGGGGGGTGCTGATCCTGGGGAAGCCTGGAGAACTAGGTCATCCCCAAGAAACAACTGAGCCCAGCGTGGGCTGAAGGCTACAGGCTTCAGGGAGGGGCCCAAGCCTGTTACCTTCACTCCAGGATCTCCAGGCATCCCTCGGGCTCCATCAGCACCTGCCCGGCCCTGGGAGAACAAGGGAAGTGTCAGAACAAGCAGGGCCGCAGTCCCCTACCCTGCAGGCCCTGTCTCCCCACAACACCCATCCACCCCTGGGGCACTCACCCTTCGCCCAGCCTTGCCAGGAGGGCCTGTGAGGCCCTGAGGTCCTCTGGGGCCCTGGTGAGAGGAGAGATGGGGTGGGGTTAGGAGGCATAGGGAGGGGAGTGAGGGAGACTGAGCTGGTGAACAGATATGGGGGTGCAGTGGAGGAAAGTGGTCACCTGAGGTCCTAAGTCTCCAGACTCTCCTTTCAGGCCAGGGCTCCCAGGTTGGCCCTGGGAGAGAGAAGAGAGGATGGCCGTAAGGAAGGACACAGCCAACAGTGGCCTCGGAGTGTTCCCCAAAAGAAGCCCCTTTCCAGAACTATCCACACCCCACACACAATTAAAGCATCCTCCACCCGAGCACCCTGCTCACTCACCAAGGGTCCAGGGCGCCCTGTGTATCCCATGGGGCCAGGGGGTCCACGGAGCGCCAGCTAGGGGAGCAGGGGGACAGCAGAGCTGAGGGACAGGCAGTGGGAACCCCCAGCCCCAGCACTCTCCAAATTCACCCTTCCTCTCCTGATCCTCATCCACTGCCCAGGATTCTCCCCAACCTCCCTGTTAACCCCAAACCAACCCAGGCCTCCCCTGCCGCACACTCACTCCAGCCAACCCTTCCAGTGCCCCCCAGAGCCTTCCCTTTCCAGGGAAGCAGCCCCACTCACCCTCGCCTGCTGCAGGATCGCCTGGGCCTGAGCCTCCTGGGCCGCCACCACAGGGCCCTTGTCACCCCCACCACTGCCAAACCGGAACTGAGGGCAAGGAGAGAAGGTCCAGGTTCTCTTCCAAGAAAGCCATGGGACCCTCCCAGCCAGAGGCTTTCTCCAGCGTTTCTGCCCCTTGCCCCAGGTTCTGCCCATCCAGCATTTCCCATGGCTTCCAGATAATCACTTAGAGGATTCCAGAAACTCAACTCCTGCCCTCCTCCACTGTCCAGCCTCTGCCTCCAGAAAGACTCTCTTTTGGTTCTAGAGCTCCTGAAATATAGGCTGTTCTGCCCAGTCCTAGAAGACTGGTGTTTTGTTCTAGGTCACCTAATGAGGCCCCATCTCCCCAACCCCAAAGACGAATCCCTTTGGAGTGATGATCTTTGATGATCTTTAGAGACTCCTCCATATCTTTCCTGCCCATCTGGTTCTTGGTAACATGACACAATTCCTTGTCTTCCCCATCAGCATGTTCCAAAACCCAAGAGACAACTCACTGGGAGCATGAGAGATGTGCCAGGAGGACCAGGAGCCCCATCTGATCCAGGGAGCCCTGCTCGGCCAGGGGGGCCCTGGAGTGGGAAGAGAATGCAAAAGATGGGGTGAAAGATAAGGGGACATCAAGATCTTAGCATGATTTTGAAATATCCTCTTCAACAGAATAAGTGTAGATTGCTCTAGCTCTTTCCTGAGTCTCCCACCCCCATGGGGAAAATTGAGGGTGAGAAACCAGATCAGCACCCTCCCCAACCAGAGTCTGCCCTCCTTTCTGGTTGCTGGGAAGCACAACCATCCCCTCATTCATTAACAAGCCACCTAACAGGAAATTACTGGGCATGGTAGCCCCCCGCTTGGATACCACTAGCTCCCCCGAAGCTCCCCCGTCACATGGAGGACACCCCCTTACCCTCTCTCCAGGGTCTCCAACTGGGCCTGGGTTCCCCTGGATGCCAGGGGGACCAATCAATCCCTGAGGAACAAAAGAGTAGGGGTCAGGTGTGGGCATTCAGACAGGTGTGGACACTCAGCCTGTGGCTGAGGAGTGGTCTGTGCAGAACAGATCTGGGAATCTGGGAAGCGTTGATTGGAGGGATGCTCCCGAGTTCTGAGGAGGAGGCCTGGGCATATGTGGGGAAGGCTCAGATGAGCACATAGAAGGGGTTTCTAAGAAAAGAATGGCCACCAGGTCACTGCTAGACTTACCGCAGGGCCTTCTGGGCCAGGGGGCCCCTCCACGAGCATACCCTGTGGAGTCAAAGGTTAAAAATCAGAGGCGACAGGACCAGCACACTCAACCCCACTTGCTTCTCCTATTTCCACTGCCTCAGCCCTGTGACCAGCATAACTTACAGGTTCCAACACTGCAGGCTCTCCTTTCTCTCCCTTCAGCCCTCGGGGTCCATGGGCAGCCTGAAGGAGACACACATGTAGCCCCCAGTGGGGCCCGTGAGCAGCCAGGACACTAGGCCTTTCTCCATCTCAACTCCAACCTTGATTCTTAGATCCTCTCGAGACCACTTCAGCCCTACCCGAAAGCCCCACAGCCCTCCCCTAAAACTCCCTCTTCACAAACCTTTCAAGCCTGCCAAGGAGACCTCAGGGTTCCCTGCCCCCCAGTTCCCAGCCCCACCTCAGCAAACACAACCTCTCCATCTCCCTGAGAGCCTCTTTCAGGAAGGTCCCCAGAAACTTCCAGTGTTTTTGTTTGTTTGTTTGTTTTTCTTTTTTTTTGAGACGAAGTCTTGCTCTGTCACCCAGGCTGAAGTATAATGGCGCGATCTCGGCTCACTACAACCTCTGCCTTCCAGGTTCAAGTGATTCTCCTGCCTCAGCCTCCCAAGTAGCTGGGATTACACTGGGATTACAGATGTGCACCACCATGCCCGGCTAATTTTTGTATTTTTATTAGAGATGGGGTTTCACCGTGTTGGCCAGGCTGGTCTCAAAATCCTGACCTCAGGTGATCCGCCTGCCTTGGCCTCCTAAAGTGCTGGAATTACAGGCGTGAGCCACCACACCTGGCCCCTTTCAGGGATTTTAAACCACCCACCTTCCCAAACCCTCTTCTAGAGGACCCTATCCCATCTCCCAAACTCCCTCCCTAGAACCTTAAGAAACCTTCCACACATTTACCCCAATACATCATAAAAGAATCTCTCTAAGATTGTGGGTAGATTTTTATTTGGGGTAAGAGGAGGGCATGGACCCACATGAGAACCTGATAAAAGCTAGGCCGGGCGAGGTGGCTTACGCCCATAATCCCAGCACTTTGGGAGGCGGAGGCAGGCAGATCACCTGAGGTCAGGAGTTTGAGACCAGCCTGACCAACATGGTGCAACCCCGTCTCTAATAAAAATACAAAATTAGCTGGGTGTGGTGGCACATGCCTGTAATCCCAGCTACTTGGGAGGCTGAAGCAGGAGAATAGCTTGAACCCAGGAGGTGGAGGTTGAAGTGAACCAAGATTATGCCATCGTACTCCAGCCTAGGCAACAAGAGCAAAACTCCATCTCAAAGAAAAAAAAGAATCTGATGAAAGCTGTGAGTCTTTCTCCAGAAATGAAAAAGTATATGCTATTATGCACAGAATTTTATTTAGGATTTCAAAGGGTTCACAAGTTTAAATATGCCCCAAAGGTTAAGCATCCATACTCTAAGTAAATTTGGAGGCCAGGCACGGTGGCGCACGCCTGTAATCCCAGCACTTTGTGGGGCCGAAACAGGCAGCTCATTTGAGGTCAGTAGTTTGAGACCAGCCTGGCCAACATGTGAAACCCCGTCTCTACTAAAAATACAAAAAATAGCCGGGCGCAGTGGCACATGCCTGTAACCCCAGCTACTCGGGAGGCTGAGGCAGGAGGATCGCTTGAACCCAGGAGGCAGAGGTTGCAGTAAGCCAAGATCCTGCCACTGCACTCCAACCTGGGTGACAGAGTGAGACCCTGCCTCAAAAAAAAAAAAAATTGGAGAGCAGTCCCCACTGAATGCATTGCCCTTCCTCTGGCCCTCAAGTACATTCCAAGCCCACCAGTTCCCTCCCTTGCACACCTCCACTCAGATACCTGTTCCCAACTCTAGGGCCAGAAACAAAATAAGAACATGGAGAATGGGAGACATTCACCACCACCCCAACTCCCCCCAACAAAGATCTTCAGAATGCCCCTCTCCACCTTCATTCTGACCAAACAGCAATGATCCGTTTCAAAATTCTCTGAAATCCCATATCAACCCCAAATACCCAGAGAGCAGCATAAAGGAAAGGCAGTAGAAGCTCAAGGGAGGCAAGAGAGGGGAGGTATGGGATGCGGCAGCAGGGTAGAGGAGGCAGCCAGAACTGCAAGGCAGGCAGAAGACGGAGCGGAGTAGACAGGAAGCAGTCCCACTGACAGGGAATACTGGAAGATATGAGAACAACTAAGGGACACAGAACAAAATGACAAACACTTGGAAGCAAGAATGATGCCAGGGCCGAAGAAAATTAAACATGGCCAACATGGCTAGAAAACAAACTGGACAAACAGGAAGTGGCTGAACAGACAGGAAGCAGTGAAGGAAAGAGGATCCAGGAAGTGAACCTTCAACAACAACATGGCTACCGTGACCCAGAGAGAAAAGAAAGGCACAAAACAGGTAGAATGTGACTCCTGCAAAGGGAATCATGACAGTGAAGGGTAATTCTTCCAGAAAACACAAACATCAAGGCTAGGACACACAGGAAGTAGCCATGAGAAATATCGAGGCCCACAATGGAAACTTTATGATTTAAATGACCTGAGACATACAGGAAGTGGCTTATTGTCAAAGGAAATTGTCACAAGATAGCATGAAAAACTAGAGCCAGAACAGAAATAATAAATCCTTTGCAGTCCAACCTGACACAGTTACCAAGATGGATGCCACAGCTGGAGAAGGCAGGAAGGGACAGATAATAAGTGGCCTGTAGGTTAAAAAAAGGTGACATAGGAAGTTAGATCGTTTGGTAGAAACATGAACAAAAAATTATTTCACCAAGAAGAAATGATAGAGAAACACTGAAAATGGACACAAGGTAGTAGTTTATTGACCAAAAGCTTTATGAAATCCAGCTTCAGTTAGACAGGAAGTGATCAAGAAAGACAGGAAGTGGCTACATATTTTTTTTTTTTAATTCCCAATTGCCCTGAGCTTCAGAAGTATCCACAAGAGTCACAAGGTAAGACATTTGGCAAAGGAAGGCAGGTAGTAATCTTTTCAAGCAACATATACATCATATGTGAACAGAAAATGACAAGTCACAGATGGGAAATAGCTCACAGCCAACAGCCAAGGATCGAAACCAACAAGAAGCAATTCTTGTAGCTCCCACTGGTAGTCAAGAATGAAAGAGAAGCTCCTTTCACTTACGGCTCCTGAGTGGGCTGTCTCCGCAGAGAGGGCAGGGCCAAGCTCTGTCTCCTCACGATAATCATCCCCATAGCCATAGGTGTAATCGTAGGGCCCTTCAGGGGGGTCTGTGCCACCCTCCCCATATTCCTCTGCCTGGAACCTGTCGGCTGTGGGGGGGACCTGGAGATCTGTCTGCTCCTTCCCAGGGATGGGGAGGGAGAGGGGTAGATGGGGATGTTAGGGCTGAGAGGAGGCTTACCCTGGACCCCAGGGTGTGACAACTTCTAGCCCAAAGGATTCCAAGGTTAATCAGAACTGGATTTTTTCTCCCAAGAATAGCCATGGGAGTGGTTGTATATAAATGGAAGGGCCATCAAAGGCCAAAAATGGGGAGAGATGTCCAGAAAGTGGGTCCAGTGGGAAGAAGTGGTGGATAAAATGAAGGGTGGCCAGAGGACTGGATGCAGAGTGGACAGTCCATGGACACAATGACAGACAAAGGAGTCCAGGAATGACCAAAGAGATAGGGAAGACAAAAGGTGACAACACTGGACAGAAAGTGGCTCCCGGGAACAGAAATAGGACATAGAAAGTAAGACCATTAGACACCAACATGGAGACGAAGTCACTCAGGAATCAAAGAATCATGGAAGGAGGCCTGGATACTGAAGGGAACGGGCTGGACTTAGAGAGTCAAGCAGGCCCATAGTTCTAGAGTGACCCAAAGACAGAGGCCATCGATGGAAATGAGGAAGAACCCTCCGGCCAGAGGAGGGGCTGGTCCATCAAGACGTCATGGGCTGAGGGGAGTGAGTCACAGGTGCCCACTGCCCCCAGATGGGGTGAGGGTGGGGCATAGAGTTACCTCCTCAAGGGGTGGCAAGAGGCTCGACTCCAGGATTTCTTCCTCTTCACCTGGGGTGGGGTCCTGTCCCCAAGGAGAGAAGGAGAAGAGTAGCACGGGGTGGGAAGGAAGGAGAAAGGTTAGCAGAAGGGAGGCAAAGCAGCACCTGTCCCCCGAGGGCAGGGTCTGTCTGTGCTGGGGGATGGGGGAAATCTCAGATCTTGCAGCCCCTTTGGAGGGGGATAGTTTGGGGAGAGTGAACCTCCAAGGTCATAGAGGTTTGGGGGCAGAGATCTGGATGCCCCGGCTCTACCTGCCGGTAACTGCTGCCTCTGGTCCTGGGGCGGGGCCAGGCAGTGGGGGAAGCTGCCCTCCGAGCTGGGCATCGGGAAAGGGGAGGCTGCTCCCATGCTGGGTCAAAGCCTGCAGTTGGAGAGGGCCTCCGGCCTGGTGAGGGGGACGCCTGCCAGGTCATTGACCTCTTGGCAGGTGGGGTAGGCTTTCAGGGAGGGGTCCGATGCCCCCTAGGGGAAGGGGGAGGCCTGTGGTGGGGGCTCCCAGGGCGCTGCAGCAGAGAGACAGGGAGGGGGCAGGAACTAAGTAAATCCCCATAATCTAAACACACTGTGCCTCTCCCCACGGCATGGGGGAGGGGAGGAAGGTGTCCTAGGAGATGATTGCTGGGGGTGCTGGGAGAAAGGGAAGAAATGAAGGGGTCCCTTGAGTTTACCTGATAATCAGGGGTTGTCCCCGTAGTCATCACATCATAATAGGGGGGCTTGTAGTCATAGTAGAGAGACTCAGTGGGCTGGGATTGGGGGGTGGGCATAGACAGGAAGGGGATGGGGTAATTGGAAGGTGTGGGGTGAAGGGCGGGAGAGGGAGATATAAAGATGGTGTGGGAGTTGGGAAACGGGGGAGGTGTGGAGTTGGGAAACAGAGAGTTGAAGATGAAAGGAGAGGTTGAGGGTCAGGAGGGAGGTGGGGAGAGGTGGAACAGAGGGAAGGGGTTCCACATGTGGGGCAGAAGCAGACATGATTAAGAGATTGACCCTCTGATCTTTAGACCACTGACCCCAGAGCCTATCTGTATTCTAACTCTCCAGACCCCATCCAACCCAGGCTCCCTTCCCTTCCCTTCCCTTCCCTTCCCCCTACTACCTCCCCTTTTCCTGCCCCTCCAGGTAGGTGGGGGCCAGAGACTGGGTTCCCCACTCCCACACTTCTGCAGACCCACCCCTCCTTTGATATTCCCTCCATCCCTACTCCTTCCCATTCCTCCTCCTTGGTCTCACCATCCCGACTGCTTTCTCCTGGCTTCAGTCCCCTCTCCTACCTGCCTCCCCAGCTCTCACCCCTCTCCCACTGTCTCCCAATCTCTTAATTCAAAGAAGGAAGGGAAAACCCAGGGACACAGTTCCAGGAAGACTGGAAGAGGAGACGCAGAGCAGGGAACACAGCTCCCAGCCACAAATTCTTCATAACAACTCTTTTTATTTTTAGATGAAAATAAAAAGGCTGATGAATGAGGACTAGGAGGAGGGGGTGATGGGAATAGGGAGATGAGGGTGGGGAGGACAACTAAGGAGGAGAGATGCCTGGGTGTCTTCCCTCTCTGGGGTGTGCTGCACTTGGGGGTTCTCCCAGCTCCCTCACCTGGCTCTGGGGTTCCTGATTTTGTGGCCTGTGAAGTCTTGATGGTTGCTGCTGTGGAGATCTCTGGGCTCTGTGAGGCTGTTGGTTTTGGGGTCTTTCCCTCTGGCCCCCCTCGCATTCCAGCTCCTTCTGTTCACATGATTCATAGGCTGCCTGGACCCCTGGGACAATGGCCAGCTCCTGGACATCACCCTGCAAAGACATGAGAGAGATGGAGCGGAGAGATTCAGAGAGAGGCAGAGGGTATCATCCGGGAGAAAGAGTATAGGAGGCCAATCCTAGGTAAAACCCTAAGATGGGAGAAGGTCACTGTCAGTCCTCCATATGCATAGCCCTTTTCAGTTTTCAAGGGATCTCATAGGACCTTCATAACAACCAGGAAAGTTGGCAGAACAAGGATCTTTCTTTCTACCCATTTTTCAGATACGTTCCATTCAGAAAAGCCCAAAAAGGCAATGACTGCCCCAAGGTCACCCAGAGTGGCAGAATCAGGACCAGATCCCAGGCCTTCCAGAATTCTTTGCCTCCCCTCTGCGCTTTGTGGCAATGCATGAGCCCTTCCACAGTGGCTTCCAGAGACAGGGCTCAGCTTTAGATGCCTTGGCCTTCCAATGGCAGTGATGATGAGAATTCTCTGGACCTCTAGAAATGGAGTGGGGAGAACCCATTCCTGAGTTCCAATGGCATTTACTTTTGCCCACACATGGTGCTTAGCATACTCTCCATTGCACCGTAATTTAGGGATGTTGTCTCATTTCCAGAGCCCACCTGGGAGCTCTTGGGGGTGATAGAGACTTTATATTCTCTTCTTTGTTCTCCTTGTCCAGCAGGTATTCAGAAAATGTTGACTGGCTTGGAGGGTGAATGGAGGGATGGGTGAATGGAGGGATGGATGAATGGATAGATGAGTGGATGGGTGGCTGGGGGCTTACATGCATTAATGAATGGGAGCATTGATAAATAGTGAATGAATAAATGTACGTATGGGAGGGTGGACTGGTGGGCAGATGAACAGGGGTTACAGAGTAGATGGAAGCAAATGGGTGAATAGGTAGATGGGTGAACTTATGTGGGTGAATGACTGGTCGGATGGGAAGTAAGTGGGTCAGGAGATGGGTGAGTGAGTATATTGAAGGAGGGAGTGGTTGAGTTGGTGGAAGGATAATGGATAGATGGTGGCTGAATGGATGCATGCATCCTTGTGTGCATGGGTAGATGGGGAGGGTGGGTGGGTGAGTGAATAGCTGGATGGAGGAGTTGAAGAGGATAGATGGGTGGAAGCATAGATGGGTGGTTTGAAGGGGAGAGTGGTTAAGCAGGGGGAGGATTGACAGGTGGGTGGATATAAGCCTTCATGCATGACTAGGTGGGCGTGTGATGCATAGATGAGTAAATAGATGGGGGAGTGGGTGGTGGATGTGTGCATAGGTTGGCTGAGGAGTGAGTGAATTGATGGGTGGGTGAGGAGAGAGAGGGGTTGAAAGGATGGATGGATGAGGGAACTGATGAAGACTGAAGGACAGAGTAAGTGGCTGTGGACAGTCCTGCCATATAGGTAGGCATCTAGTTCTCCTGCAGAGAACAGTAGCCCTGAAGATAGAAAATAGAAATGAAAATTCATAAGAAAAAAAAATGAAGGCCTAGGGAATAGGAAGATGACATGCTGGGGCCAGAAGGGTAGTGGGCACAAGATAGGGGACCAGAAGTCAATCCTGCCTCTGATTGCTCTGGTTACCTCAAAGACTTCTTCATCCAGAATACGGGCACCAAAGATGATCACTCCATGGGTGTCCAATACTGGACGAGCACTTCGGGGGAGAGGCCGGGTGACTCGCTTCTTGCAGTCAACAATGAGGGTGACAGACTGGCCCTTCACAGCCACAGCCACACGGTGCCACCTGGAAATGGTGGAAGAGGTTCAAGTGAACTCTTGGCTGACTGAAGTAGGGGAGTCAACATGGTTGGAGAGCAGTGATAAGAGTTGAAGCCAATGGTGATAAGAGCAGTAATAACAATGGCTACCATTTATTGAGTGTTTACAGTGCACCAGACACCATGCCGTCACTTTCTTATTTGTGCCAATTCTATTTAATGTCTATTTTACAGATGTAGAAACTGAGGCTCAAAAATTTTAAGTAACTTGCCCAAGGTACAGGCTAGTTCAACATGCAGAGAAGGCTGTACACTCTAAAGCCCAAACTCTGGACTAGAAGTGACTGAAGTTTGGGCAGTGGGTAGGTGTGGTGTGGCCCAAAGGGTCTCAAGGGTTTCACAGTTTAGAGTGTAGGGGTTTGGGGGCACTTCCTCCTGAAAGTGTGGGCCAGGCAGACCAGAGGAGCAAACAAACTTACTTGCCATCTGCTAGGCTGAGGCCTCGGAAGACTGGCTGAGAGGGAGGTTGAGGCCGCCCAGTCTGGTCTTCATACAGGAAGCGGACAGGTCGGCCCAGCTCCAGGCCCAGCTGTCGGACACCCTGGGCACTGTAGAGAGTCAGGAGGGGAGCTTGGAGACCAGGGCGGGTCCGGACAACAGTCAGCAGAGAGAAATCTTTGGGAAATCCTCCTAGTAACCGAGAGAGATACACACAGAGTGAGAGGCAAAGGGAGCCGCCACAACCCCTTTCCTCCTGGTGTCTGATCCTAGGCCCCATCCCATTACCTCCCCCCAGGCCTACCCCACCATGTCACCCATACCTGGGAAAAGCTGGCGAGTGGGTGCACTGAGCTGGGCAGGTCGTGCCACTCGGTAGGCCACATCAGCTGGACAGATGCCTTTCGCTCTCCGGACACCATCAGGGAGGGAGGGGAACCTCAGGGCCCGGAGCACATCCACAGGGGGTGCACCTGGGAGAGTCCATGATTATCAGGAGAAGGGACATGCCCTCAGGAGGGCATAAATAGGGGACATTTGGGATCTAGAACTCAGCTTTCCAGGGCTCAAACTCCCTGCAAGGGAAAGGTCACCTCACCCTCACTTGCTTCTGAACAGTACCTGAATGGATGGGAAATGCAAAGGTACCTGGAGGCAGGGCAGCATCAGCTGGCATTCAACCCCATGACACTCCTGCCCCTGTCTCTCCTAGCATCTGCCTCTCTTACGCTCTCTCTTTGTCTTTTAGCTTATGAATCTGTCTCTCTCTGTACTCTCTGAATACTTCTCTCAACTCTTCATCTGTCTCCTGTCTCTCTCACTCTCTTACTCTCTCTGTCTCTTTATGTTGGTCTTTCTGTCTCTGTCTCTTCTGTCTTCCTCCATTTCTCTCACATTCTGTCCATCTTTTTCTCTCCCTCGCTCTCACTCTCTTTCCATATCTCTCACTCTCTGGGTCTCTGGCATCTGTCCCGTCTCCAGCACAAACAACATCTGGGCAATCGATCATCCTGGACACAGGAGGTGCAGGGGGGCCACGAGGAAGAGATCAGAGAAGCAGCTCTATGAGAGGGGCTTCAAGCAGCTACAGATCCCAGGTTTGGGGGATGGGGTGGGAACAACCCTGAGCATGCTGAGGAAAAAGATACAAGAAAGCTCTCCCAGGAGTCTGTGCCTCCTGGTTTAGGAGATGAGTTGGGGAGGGGTGGAGGAATGGGGGGCAGGGGCTGAAGCTGCCACGAGGATCCGGAACAGGTCCAGGGCCCTGAGCCACACATCTGTGGATCCCATCAGAGTGCTTGCCCAGAACCCAGGCAAGCTCCCCACACCTGGAACCTCAATCCTGTCTCACCACCCCCACCAACCCCACCACCTGGGACCCAAAGATTCAAGATCCAGCCCACCAGCCCTGTCTACCTAGAACTCAGCTTCCTAGGGCTCAAACTCCCTGGAAAACAAAAGATCACCTTGCCCTCACTTGCTCCCCTATACACATACTCTTCACACCATCAGCTCCAGATTGGAAAAATCCCAAAGAGAGTTCCAGCAAAACTTTCATAGAAGTGTGGGGCAGGGCAGAGGCCAGAGCAATCAGGAGAGTGGAGCTGGGTGGGGTGGGTGAGGTGGGGCGGGCAGGCAGAGAAAAGGCCCTTTGAGTCCAGGAGCCGGGAAACCACGGCCTTCCCCCCCAACCCCCACCTAAGCCTGGCCCCTGCGCGTGTGGCAGCTCCGCAAACACCAACACACAAGGGCCGCTTTGAGAGACGAAGGGTGAGTGAGACAGAGACACAGAGACTCACAGAGACCCCAGGCCAAGGAGACCTCGGAGGTCCCCACCCTCCACCAAATCCCAAGGGAGTACAATTCGATCATATGGACAACCTACCCACAGGTCCGCCCACCATCTTCCCACACCAGGCCACATACTTGCCCCCCTGTATCCAGCCTCATCTGCCCCACAGGCTCTCCACTGGTAGCCCCATTACCCTCCACCACTCTACCTCTGGCCCCCCAAATGCCTTATTCTCTAACCTTAGGAATTCTACAGTAACTCATTTCCCTAAAGTCCCATCTCTACCCACTCAGCCCCTGAAATAAGAAACAGTCATCTTAGCCATCCCCCTGCCTCCATGCCAGAGGATCCCTCTTCCCCCTAAGAAAGACTCCTAGAGTCTACAGGCACCATACGCCTCAATTTCCTGGCCCTGGGCTTCACTGTCCTCACATCTTGGAAGTTCTTCCTTCTGTAATCTAATCTAAATCTTTTGTGCTGCCATTCTGACCATTTTCTCTCTAAAGCAGAGAAGAATTGAATAGTCAAGTTAAATATAAATCAGCCCTCAGTGTCTCCAGAAATGGGCTTTTTCCAGCCTGCTGAGGACCTGGTGCTCACAGCCCCCTCCTTGACATCAAATCCCCTTTCCTAGAAGCCAGGAATTCTGGGTCCTGGGAAAAAGAAGGAAAAGATCAGGGTTGTGGGCACCAGGGTCCCAGGGGAGCCTGGCTGGCCAGAGGGAGGAGGGGCTAGGCAGGAATGCAAAGAGTTGGCTCTGGCCTCAGACACCTGATCCTGGCCTGTCCGGAGGGCCGTCCTGTTGGCAGCCAGCCCCAGTGCTCCCCAGAGCCAGCTGCGTGGCAGCATCGAGGGCACAGGGAGGGGGAGGGGGACCCTGTCCAGGAGGCCAATGAGACAGGTAGTCAAGGCTTCCTTTCTTTCTGGGCTTACTGGGCTCTGCTCTGAATCACAGGTGCTCACCCCTTATCCCAGAGATATCGACAGAAAGGCCATAAGACACACACGCCTCACCCATCAACATTGGCGTCTACCATCCCCACACCAGCAATGACTGGACCGGGCTGGCCCTGGCC
>NT_167249.2:4662258-4724211 GCF_000001405.40 Homo sapiens
GGCCGTGTTTCCCCCTAAAGCCCGCTTGGCCCTCCCAGTTCCGCAGCTGCGCGGCCCGCCCGCCGATCCCATGGCTCCCTTCTCCACCCTTGGGATTTCTCGTTTGTTCGCCTCCTCTCCGGTACCCTCAATCCCGTAGATGCAGGTGGGCATCCTCCAGCCCCAGCAAGTACTGCGGACCAGTTGGGCTGGCTGGCCCCTTTCCTGCAGAAGCAGACAACACCCACTTCTACCCTCGTAGGAGCCCCTTTCTACACTCACTTCCCTGGAACCCGTGATCCTGACTCCCCTCCTCCCGGACCCCAAGCATCCAGGACGTGTACGGTATAAGGGGAAGTTGTAGTGGGAGGCAGGTGGGCGTTGTTCCTGGAGTTTCAGGGTAGAGAAGCAGGTGGGGAGGAGTTGGGTGAGATACAGAGGTGGAAGCCAAAAGTCTGGAGTTAACCTGACTTCTCTTCTGGCTCCAGGGGCTGCCGGGATCGTCTGTCCTCACCCTCCTTGTCCTCCCCAGCCCTAACCACCCGGCAGCCTCTTCTCTGTCTCTGCTGCCCGTCCTGCCTTCACTCTGAAACAGCCTGCCCCCTCCCGGGTCCCCAGTCCTCACCTTCGCCCCACACGCCCCCCTCTCTATTTATCACATTTCCTTTCGTGTCCCCCTAACCCCATCGCTTGGTGCGAGTGCTCTCTTGCCCTCCTCTCCCCATGACTGAACCTCACAGACATGGCTGTTTATTTAGGTGACACCATGTGGGAGACACAGAGGAACCCATTTCCATCCTGGCTCCACTGGGGCATTTCCTTTCCAAGTCCTTCAGTCCCTCCCAACCAAGCCTATGTTACTGGGTCAGGCAAGGTGAGAGATATAAAGTATGCAAAAGAAAACGTTACTATTTTGTTGAGGAACAAGATACATGTGGAATAGTTGACAATGCAGAGGAACAGGGTAGAGGAAGGAGGGTTGATACAGTATTAGAGTCAGACAAACGTGGGTTCAAATCGGCTCTGCCACTTACAAACTGAGCCACCTTGCACAAGGCACTGGGTCTTCCCTCTGTTTCTTCACCTGCAAAATGGGGGAGAGTAACAGGTTGCCCTGAGAATTGAGAGATAATACAAGTAAAGTTACACGCCTAACAGATCAGTGGCTCTCCCAGTGTGGATCCCAGACTAGCAGCATCAGCATCGCCTGGGAACTTGTTAGAAATGCAAATTCTTGGGCCCCACCCCAGATCTGCTGTTTAAGAAACTGGAGATGGGGCCAGCAATTGCATTTTCCCAAGCCCCCAAGTGCTTCTGATGTTCACACAAGGCTGAGGACACTGAAGAAGATGCCCCACAAAATGTTACGGCCTTGCCTTATACTATAAAGAATGGCAAAGGGCCCGTGTAGGGGTGCTCTGTGACTCCCAAGCAGGAGGATCACTGCAGGCCAGTAGGGAGGTGAGGAGCGGCCTCACAGAGGAGGTGGGACTGGGCTGGGGAAGGAAACAGAGAAGCCTTTCTGCAGTGGGTGAGGGAGATGGGGGGAAGCTCCCTCTCCCTTACCCTACCTACCACCCAGCACGATTTTACCTCTCAGGCTTCTCAGTCTCCAAAGCAGAGCAGACCATGTATCTGAACGCGGAAGCTGAGCTCTGGAGCCCAGAGCCTCAGGGCCCTGAGGGAAGGTTCCCCCAGGAGACCCCTGCCCAGGCAAGGCCTAACTCTGAGGGCCCTGTCCTTGCCTGGCAGCCCTCAACACCCTGGGAAGCTGCTCACAGGAGGCTGTGCTCTGGGCTTCTCCACCTTCACAGTCCACCTCAGCGAGGAGGGAGGTGCCGCTGAAACCGCCAACCACTTCTTCAGTTGGGTGTGGGGCATAGCCTCTCCTCTCCCACCTCTGTCTCCTCTGCTTCCTCCTCCCCCATGCTGCTCTCACCTCTCTCCCCTCTCCCTGCAGGCTGGGAGCAAAGGGAGAGGAGGAGGAGAAGAGAGGACAGACCCAGCCCTCTACCTACTATGGCACTCCTTTACCTGCCAGCTGTCACAACCAACCCTTCCCCAACTCCCCTACCCGGGACCCCCATCTCCACCCACAAATCCACTCAAATTTCCTGCCTGGAATGTGGAGTCTCTTCCCACTGCTCTCACCTCTCTCAGCACAGCCTGGGCAAGGGGCCCTTCTCCTCCCCCTAATATAGGAAGTACTTCAGCCAAGGGGCCCACCTGACCCTGTGCGAACACTTTCACACAGGTGATAGGCCCTACTCCTGCAGAAAGTGTGGCCACAGCTCTTGCCACAGCTCACACCTGGCCCAGCACTGCGGCACACACCTGCCTGAACCCAATCACTGCCACCAGCGTGGCAAGGGCCTCTCCCCAAGGCTCCAGCCCGTTGCAGCCTGCCACTCTACACACAGGCAAGCAGCCTTACGTCTGTGCCACCTAAGCCTTCTTGTGGTAGATGAGGGTGCTGGCCCCCACTCCAACCTGCAACACCAGCAGCAGAACCATACCTGGGGGCGTCCCCATCACAGTGACCAGTGAGGCAAGGGCTATGGACATTGCTCAGGGCTGGTGCAGCACCAGCAAGTCTGCAGAAGCAAAGGCTGCAGGCATGGTTTCTGATACAGCCCCAGGCTGGTGCAGCATCACCAGGGCCACATCAGGGACAGGCTCTACTGCTTGCCTCTGTGGCTGTGGTTTCACTTGGAACACCCACCTGCCATGACACCAGGCCTCATATGTGGAGAGGAATGAGATGAACACAGTGGGGAGGCAGGGAATCAGAGCCCCTGTGGCTGCATCACCGCCCCCAATCTGCAGCGCTCTATGAGGGTGGCAGGGCAGCCTCAGAGACAGACTTCCTCCACCTGTGGGAGGCATAACAGAGCAGAGATCCACCCACTCCCAGCCAGGGTGACCTTCAGAGCAACCATAAGGGGTAGCTCGAGTGTCTCGCCTGAACCCACTCAAAGCTGGAATGGCCAGGTCCACTTCACTCTAGACCAAAGTGCCAAGTCCTAAGGGAGCTCCCAAGCCAGGAACTTTTCTCTGGAGAAGAATCCATACTTCTCAGGGTCTTAAAAAATTTTGTTTTTTATATAAATAAGAGGTCCTGGGGCACTTTTCCATCTCCTGTCCTCCATCGGAGAAATTTCACTAGGCTGTCTCAGACGTGCTGTTGTCGTGGATGGATTAGACTCCTTGGGACTTTCTTGAAGGGTCATTTTAAAGTGATAGCTTAGGCTGGGCATGATGGCTCATGGCTGTAATTCCAACACTGTGGGAAGCCAAGGTAGGTGGATTACTTGAGGCCAGGAGTTCAAGACCAGCCTGACCAAACCTGGCAAAACCCTGGCTATACAAAAAACACAAAAATTAGCAAGGCGTGGTGGCCCATGCCTGTAATCCCAGCTACTCAGGAGGTTAAGGCATGAGAATCACTTGAACCTGGGAGGCGGAGTTTGCAGTGGCCGAGATCACGCCACTGCACTCCAGCCTGGGCGACAGAGTGAACCTCTACCTCAAAACAGAACAAACAAAGAAAAAAATGCCCTTAAGAGTTCTTTTATAAAAATAAAAACAGAAAAAAAATAGATAACTTAATTTCCAGAGATCTCCAGGACAACCCCCTACCATCAAATCCTAGTCCCCCAACTAATCCCACCCAACCCCCAGAGGCTACTGGGTTCTTCCTGCCTCAGGTGTTCACACTACACCCGGCGCCCCTATTTGATGAGCCATCTTCCTGTGCCTACTCCTTGCTTCACCAGGTCCTGTTCTTACGAGTTTACTGTTACTCTTCATGTTATAGGGTAAGTGAGACCTTATTCTTGTATTAACTTGCCCCAGAGTATACTCTTTGGAACTCGGCAATATTTCTCCCTATGATGTACCAAGGAGGTTGATTACTGACACATGCTAGAAGAAATTAAATACGCTTAGTGGTCAAAGGATTACTTGAGAGACTGCTAATCATTTCCACCCTTTCGGGAAATGTGTATTGAGTCTACCATGTGTCAGGAGTTGTTCTGGGACCTGGGTATCATAGTCATGTGGCATAGCCCCTGCCTTCGAAGGATTTGATGTAGGGGCGGTTTAGAATGAGCATCTCAATATTGAATCCAGCACCTAGTCCTATCCATTTTATCTGCTCTAATATATCTCAAGTCTGTCCACTCGTTTTCATCCCTCCACATCCCTGGGCTAGCCACCATGTGGACCATGTGGCCTTCTCTGAGTCATTGCAGTAGCTGAAGAGGCTGGGAATGGCCTTCTCTACAGTATGACACACACCTAAGAGGGATCCTTTAAAAATGCAAATCTGATTGTTTCAGTCAGCCTCCTTAAACCTATTCAGTGGTTTTCCATTGATCTTAGGTTAAAGACCCAAGTCCTTAACCTGACCTCTAAGGCCCTGCAAGGGGTGGCCCCTCCTCTCCAGCCTCATCTCCCACCACACCCCCTCACTCGTGTGCTCCAGTTGCTGTCCACCTTGTGCTTCCTCCTGCACAGAGTCTCCAGGGAGGCTGGACCCTCTGTGGAAAGGCTCCTTCCTCTGTTCCTCTCCTCTTAGCTCCTCTTCATTCTTCAGGCCTCACCTTCTCAATAGCCTCAGGGAAGCCTTCCTGACCTTCTTTTCAGGGTCAAATTCTCCTGTTATGAGCGCTCACACTAAGGTGTACCTTTCCTCAGAGGCACTTGGCCCTGTTGGAGTTCTACATTTGTTGATGATTATGTACAGACTGATGTCTGTCTGCCCCATTGAATGTAAGCTCCCTGAGGGCAGGGACTATGACTGCAGATGCTCACTCTTGCCACTCCCTGGACCTAACACTGGATACTTTATAAATAGTGGTTGAATAGATGCATTCATGGCAGGATCTGGGCAGGAGGCTAGATATTTCAGGATTTCAGAGGTGATGAATTAAGGCCATGATTCTCCCTCCTGTAGCTGCAGCCCAAGAATCCCATGTGCTATTACCTAACACTGTTACTTCCTCCTTAATTCCTGGCATCATTCAGGTCCACAGCCCTGCCTTCATCCCAGGCTTCCTCCATCTTGCCTGTGAGACCCTCTCCCTCTTTAACTTTTTAGTTCCCCTTTCTGGTTTTGCCTCATTGACTTCAGAAGCCAGCATGGAATAATGTCGCAAGACCCAGGATCCAGAACTGGAGGCCAGGTGCAGTGGCTCACTGCTAAAATCCCAGAATTTTGGGAGGCCAAGGCAAGAGGATTGCTTGAGCTCAGAAGTTCAAGACCAGCCTGGGCAACATAGTGAGACTTCGTCTCTACAAAATATTTTTTCAACTTTTATTTTAAGTTCCGGAGTACAAGTGCAGGATGTGCAGGTTTGTTACATAGGTGAACATGTGCTATGATGGTTTGCTGCACCTGTCAACCCATCACCTAGGTATTAAACCCGGTATCCATTAGCTATTCTTCCTGATGCTCTCCCTCCTGCCACTTCCCCTTCTGACAGACTTCAGTGGGTTATTGTTCCCCCCACCCACATGTGTCCAGGTGTTTTCATCGTTCAGCTCCCACTTATAAGTGAGAACATGTGGTGTTTGGTTTTCTGTTCCTGTGTTAGTTTGCTGAAGATAGTGGCTTCCAGTTCCATCCACATCCCTGTAAAGGACATGATCTCATTCCCTTTTATGGCTGCATAGTATTCCATGGTGTACGCATACTACATTTTCTTTTTTCTTTTTTTTAAGGTGGTGTCTTGCTCTGTCACCCAGGCTGGAGAGCAGTGGCACAATCTCGGCTCACTGCAACCTCTGCCTCCTGGGTTCAAGCGATTCTTCTGCCTCAGCCTCCCAAGTAGCTGGGACTATAGGCGAGTGCCACCACACCCTGTTAATTTTTGTATTTTTAGTAGAGACAGGATTTCACCATGTTGGCCAGGCTGGTCGTGAACTTCTGACCTTGTGATCTGCCCACCTCGGCCTCCCAAAGTTCTGGGATTACAGGTATGAGCCATCGTGCCCGGCATTTTTTTTTTTTTTTTTTTTTTTTTTTGAGATAGAGTCTCACTCTGTCACCCAGGCTGGAGCGCATTGGCACAATCTCAGCTCACTGCAACCTCTGCCTCCCGGGTTCAAGAAATTCTCCTGCCTCAGCCTCCTGAGTAGCTAGGATTACAGGCATTTGCCACCACACCTGGCTAATTTTTTTGTATTTTTAGTAGAGACAGGGTTTCACTATGTCGGTCAGGCTGGTCTCGAACTCCTGATCCACCTGCCTCAGGCTTCCTAAGTGCTGGGATTACAAGTGTGAGCCACCACGCCTGGCTGCATACTACATTTTCTTTATCTAGTCTTTCATTGATAGGCATTTGGGTTGACGCCATGTCTTTGCTATTGTGAATAGTGCTGTAGTGAACTACAAAATATTTAAAAATTAGCCAGGTGTGGTGGCTTGTGCCTGTAGTCCCAGCTACTTGGGAGGCTAAGGTGGTAAGGTTCGTTGAACCTGGGAGTTTGAGGCTGTAGTGCTCTATGATTGAGGCTGTGAATAACCACTGTATAGTGAGAACCTGTCTATTTCTTTTTTAATCTTTTTAATCTAGCTAACTAGGAATAGAAAGTAACTTCCAAAGTCAAGACAAGGATACCAGTTTTTACTGTTTCTATTCACCTTTCTGCCAAGAAGTCTGAAGTGACACAAGAAGAAAAAGAAGAAATAAAGCCATCACTATACATAGACAATTACTATACATAGATTGCTTACTATACAAAGAAAATTCACAAGAACCTACCAACTATTAGAAATAACAATTTCCTTGCCGGGGGCAAGGAGAATACACAAACATCAATATCCTTACACCACAGCAATAAACAGATAAAAGATTTCATTTTAGGCCAGGCATCGTGGCTCACGCCTGTAATCCCAGCTCTTCCGGAGGCCAAGGCAGGCGGATCATGAGGTCAGCAGATCGAGACCGTCCTGGCTAATACAGTGAAACCCCGTCTCTACTAAAAATACAAAAAATTAGCTGGGCGAGTTGGCAGGCACCTGTAGTCCCAGCAACTGGGGAGGTTGAGGAAGGAGAATGGCGTGAACTCAGTAGGCGGAGCTTGCAGTGAGCCGAGATTGCGCCACTGCACTCCAGCCTGGGCGACAGAGCGAGACTCCGTCTCAAAAAAAAAAAAAAAGAAAAGAAAATACCATTTGTCATAACAAAAATCATAAGATACTTAGGAATAAATATAACAAAGTCTGTGTATGATATTTATGGAGAAAATTATAAAGTTTTATTAGAGAACATAAAGAAGATATAAAAGAATAGGAAGAGATCCCCTACTCACAAAGACGGAAGTTTGATATAAAGCTGATAATTTTTCTCAAATCTAAAAATTCAGTACAATTCTAAGCAAAACTCCAATCAGATATTTTATGGAACTTGACAGACTGTTCTTAAAATTCTTTTTTTTTTTGAGACGGAGTCTCACTCTGTTACCGAGGCTGGAATGCAATGGCGCGATCTCGGCTCACTGCAAGCTCCACCTCCCAGGTTCAAGTGATTCTCCTGGCTCAGCCTCCTGAGTAGCTGGGACTACAGGTGCGCACCACCACGCCCGGCTAATTTTTTTGTATTTTTAGTACAGACGGGGTTTCACCATGTTGGTCAGGCTGGTCTTGAATTCCTGACCTCGTGATCTGCCCGCCTCGGCCTCCTCAAGTGCTGGGATTATAGGCATGAGCCACCACACCCGGCCTTAAAATTCTTATGGAAGAGTAAATGGCCAAGAAAAAACAAAACTTGAAGCAGAAGAATATGAGATCCCTTGCCTAACCATATGTCACAAGTTTACTGGTTGAAACTTAGAGTGATTAAAACAGTCTAGTCCTGGTATATGCACACATAAATAGACCACAGTACAGAACAAAACTTTTTTGAATCAGATCCTAATAGGGTTTGGATCTGTGTCCCTCCCTCTCCAAATCTCATGTCGAATTGTAATCCCCTTTGTTGGAGATGGGGTCTGGTGGGAGGTGATTGGATCATGGAAATGGATTTCCCACTGGGTGCAGTTCTCATGATAGTAAGTTATCATGAGACCCGGTTGTTTAAAAGTGTGTGGAGGCCAGGTGCAGTGGCTCTTGCCTATAATCCCAGCACTTTGGGAGGCTGAGGCAGGAGGATCACTTGAGCTCAGGAGGTCAAGACCAGCCTGGACAACATGCTGAGACATCATCTCTACAAAAATACAAAAATAGTAGCCGAGCATGGTGATGCATGCCTGTGGTCCCAGCTACTCAGGAGGCTGAGGTGGGAGGATCGCTTGAGCCCAGAGGGTGGAGGTTACAGTGAACTGAGATTGTGCCACTGCATTCCAGCCTGGGTAACAGAGCAAGACTCTGTCTCAAAAAAAAAAAAAAAAAAAAGCGTGTGGCACCTCTTCCCTCTCTTCCTCCTGCTCCAGCCACGTAAGACATGCCTGCTTCCCTTTCACCTTCCACCATGATTGTAAGTTTCCTGAGGCCTCCCCAGCCATGATTCCTATACAGCCTGTGGAACTATGAGCCAATTAAACTTTATAAATTACCTGATTTCAGGTATTTATCTATAGCAGTGCAAGAATGGACTAATACAGACCCTCAAAGATATGAGACTTGGCTATAATGGAAGTGACATAAATCAGTGGGAAAGTTCAATGGTTTTGAGTTAACTGGCTATCCAAACAAACACACAAAAAATAAATTCTACATTACATCCTACCCAGAAGTAAATTTCAGGTAGCTAGAGTAAAAAGCAAAACTGAAAACTATTCAAAGAAAATATAAGATCACATATTGATGATATCAGAATAGAGAAGGATTTCTTATACAAAATTTTAAAAGTACAAAAGTACAAGCAGTTAACAAAATGAAGAACACTATATGATTATATCAATAGATGGGGGAAAGGCGTTTGACAAAATTTAACATCCTTTCATGATACAAATTCTTAGCAAATTAGGTATAGAAAAAGTGTATCTCAACACAATAAAGCCCATATATGACAAACCCACAGCTAACATCATACATAATCATGAAAAGTTAAAAGATTTTCCTCTAAGATCAGGAACAAGACAAGGATAACCATTCTCACCATTTCTATTCAATATAGTACTAGAAGTTCTAGTCAGAACAGATAGGCAAGAGAAAGAAATACAAGACATCCAAATTGGTCAATGTTGACCAGGTTGGCCTCGAACTCATAGCCTCGCCTCCCTGTGCACCAGGACAGCTGGCTTGAGCCACTGATGCTCCCTAGGCATCCAAATTGGAAAGAAAGAAGTTAAATTGTCACTTTGTAGATGACATGATCTTATATAGAGAAATCCCTAAAGATACCACCAAAAAAACTATTAGAACTAATAAATTCAGTAAAGTTGCAGGATACAAAATCAATATTCAAAAGTCAGTAGCATTACTGTATACTAATAATGCACCAACCAAAAAAGAAATCAAGAAAGCAATCACATTTATAATAGCATCAAAAATATATACTTAGGAATAAATTTAATCAAAGAGGTGAGAAATCTGTACACTGAAAACCATAAAGCATTGAAGAAAGAAATTAAAGACACAAATAAATGGAAAGATATTCCATGTTAATGGATTGGAAAGATTAATATTGTTAAAATGTCCACACTACCCCAAACTGTAGATTCCATCCAACCTCTATCAAAATTCCAATGACATTTTCACAGAAATAGAAAAAAAATCCTAAGATTCATATGGAACCACAAAAGACAAGGACCAAAATGGCCAAAGCAATCTTGAACAAAAGGAACAAAGCTAGAGCCATCACACTACCTAATTTCAGAAGCTGCCACAAAGCTATAGTAATAAAAACAGCATGGTTCTGGAACAAAAACAGACATATAAGACCAGAATAGAGGCCAAAAATAAATCCACACATTTTATGGCCAACTGATCCTTTACAAATATGCCAAGAACATACAATGGGGAAAGGACCAGTCTCCTCAATAAACAGTCCTGGGGAAACTGGATATCCACATGTAGAAGAATAAAATTTGACCATATCTCACCTCATATACAAAAATCAACTCAGGCCAGGCATAGTGGCTCACATCTGTAATCCCAGCACTTTGGGAGGCTAAGGCCAATGGGTTACTTGAGGCCAGGAGTTCGAAACCAGCCTGGCCAACATGGTGAAACCTACCAAAAACACAAAAATTAGCCAGGGGTGGTGGCACACACCTATAGTCCCAGCTACTCAGGAGGCTAAGGCACAAGAATTACTTGAATCTGGGAGGCAGAGGTTGCCAAGACCACACCACTGCACTCCAGCCTGAAGAACAGAGAGAGACTGCCTCCAAAAAAAAAAAAAAAAAAAAAAAAAAACTACTCAAAATGAATTAAAGACTTAAACATAAGATCTGAAATGGCGGGGTGCGGTGGCTTACACCTATAATCCCAGCACTTTGGGAGGCCAAGGCAGGTGGATCATAAGATCAAGAGATTGAGACCATCCTGGCCAACATGGTGAAGCCCCATCTCTACTAAAAATACAAAAATCAGCTGGGTGTGGTGGTGCACACCTGTAGTCCCAGCCACTCAGGAGGCTGAGGCAGGAGAATTGCTTTTCTCCTATATTTTCTTCTAGTATTTTTACAATTTCAGATCTTTTTTTTGAGATGGAGTCTCGCTCTGTTGCTGGGCTGGAGTGCAGTGGCATGATCTTGGCTTCTTGACATTGGTCTGGGCAATAATTTTTTTGGACAAATGAGATTGCATCAAATGAAAGCTTCTGAACAGCAAAGGAAACAATCAACAGACAACCTACGGAAAGGGACAAAATATTTGTAAACTATACATCTGATAAGGGGTGAATATTTTTATAAGAAACTTAATAGCAAGAGTTGTTGAAAACCAAAAATCTGATTTTTTTTCTTTAAGTTGGGGTCTCACCCTGTTGCTCAGGCTGGAATACAGTGCCGCAATAATAACTCACTGCAGCCTTCAACTCCCAGGCTCAAGCAATCCTCCCACCTCAGCTTCCCAAGTAGCTGGGACCACAGGCACACCCCACCGTGCCCTGCTAATTTTTAAAATTTTTTTGTAGAGACAGGGTTTCCCTATGTTGCCCAGATTTATCTTGAACTCCTAGGCTCAAGTGATCCTCCTGCCTTGGCCTCCCAAAGTGCTGGAATTACAAACATAAGCCACTGCATCCAGCCAAAAATCTGATTTTACAATGGGCAAATGATCTGAAAAAACATTTCTCAAAAGAAGACACATAAATGGCCAACAGGTATATGAAAAACAAATGCTCAATATTGCTAATTATCAAGGAAATGAACATTTAAACCACAGTGAGATATCACCTCATACCTGCTAAGATGGCTCTGATAAAAAAAATAAAAATAAACCAAGAGATTACAAGTGGTGGCAAGGATGTGGAGAAAAAGGAACCCTCACAAACTGTTGGTAGGAATGTAAATTTGTACACCTATTTTGGAAAACAGAATGGAGCTTCCTCAAAAAATTAAAACTACCATGTGATCCAGTAGTTCCATTATCAGGTATATTTCAAAAGAAATGAACTCAGTATGTTGAAGAGATATCTGTATTCCCAAGTTCACTGCACCATTATTCACAATAGCCAAGACATGGAAACAACCTAAGTGTCCATCAATGAATAAATAGAGAGATTATGGAACATATACACAATGGAATACTATTCAGTCTTTAAAAAGAAGGAAATTCTGTCATCTGTGACAACATGGATAAAACTAGAGGATATTATGCTAAATGAAATAAACCAGGCACAGAAAGACAAATACCATGATTTCATTTACATGTGGAACCTAAAGAGTCAAACTCAGCCAGGCATGGTGGCACGTGCCTGTAGTCCCAACTACTCGGGAGGCTGAGGCAGGAGGATCTCTTGAATCCAAGAGTTTGAGGCTGCAGTGAGCTGTGATCAGACCTCTGGACTCCAACCCAGACAACAGAGTGAGACCCTGTCTCAAAATAAATTTAAAAAAATAAATAAATAAAATAAAATTGCAGAAGCAGAGAATAGAATGGTGGCTGCACAGGGGCTAGGGGGCGGGGGGCGGGTGTGGGCAGGGATTGGAGAGCTTTAGTCAAAGGATACAAAATTTCAGTTAGGTAGAATAAATTCAGGAGATCTATTGTATAACATGATGACTAGAGTTAATAACAATGTATTGTATACTTGAAAATTGCTGGCCAGCTGCAGTGGCTTATGTCTGTAAACCCAGCACTTTGGGAGGCTGAGGTGGGTGGATCGCTTGAGACCAGTTCGACACCAGCTTGGGCAACATGGTGAGACCCCATCTCTAAAAAAAATACAAAAATTAGCTGGGCGCAGTGGCTCATGCCTGTAATCCTAGCATTTCGGGATGCCGATTGCTTGATTGCTTGACCCCAAGAATTCAAGACTAGCCTAGGTAACATAGTGAGACCCTGTCTCTACAAAAAATTGAAAAAATTAGCAGGATGTGGTGGCACGTGCCAGTAGTCCCAGCTACTTGGGAGGCTGAGAAGAGAAAATCACTTGAGCCTGGGAGGTCCAGGCTGCAGTGAGCTATAATCTTGCCACTGCACTCTAGCCTGGGCGACAGAGCAAGATCCTGTCTCAAAAAAAAAATAAAAATAAAAATAATTGCTAGGAGAGTACATTTCAAATATCACGTTTAAAATGATAGTATGTGAGATAACAGATACAGTAATTACTCTAGCCATTACACACACACACACACACACACACATATATATACACACATCATGTTGTTACACCATAGATACAATTTTTATTTGTCGACTATAAATAAATGCACAAGCAATAAAGGAAAATATTGATACATATGACCACGTTAAAACATTTTTAAGCTTTTATAAGAAATCACATAGGCCGGGCGCGATGGCTCAAGCCTGTAATCCCAGCACTTTGGGAGGCCAAGGCGGGTGGATCACAAGGTCAGGAGATTGAGACCATCCTGGCCAACATGGTGAAACCCCGTCTCTACCAAAAATACAAAAAAATTAGCTGGACGTGGTAGTGGGTGCCTGTAGTCCCAGCTACTCGGGAGGCTTAGGTAGGAGAATGGCGTGAACCCATGAGGCGGAGCTTGCAGCGAGCCGAGATTGTGCCACTGCACTCCAGCCTGGGCGACAGAGCAGGATTCCGTCTCAAAAAAAAAAAAAAAAGAAATCACGTAAAGTAAAAGACAAGCCACAGACTTAGAGAATATTCACAATCTACATAAACAACAAAGGATTATATCCAGGATTCATAAAGAAGTTGCAGATCCATATGAAAAGGACAACGCAAGAGAATATGAGCAAAAGCTGTGAATAGGTGAGTCACAAAAGAGAAACCTAATGGTCAATAAACATAAGAAAAGATGCTCAATTTAACCAGTAATGTAGAAATGCAAATCACAGCGCGAGTTACCATTTTACACCCACAAAATCACCAAAATTAAAATTATTCTAACACTGTTGACAAAAATGTGGGACAATAGGAATGCATATATTTTGTGTTGAAGTGTAAACAGATACAACAAATTTGAAGAGAATTTTGGCACCAGTTAATGCTGAAAATGAATATTCCCTATGACCCAGCAATCTTGCTTCTAGATCTATTCCTTAGAAAAACATTTCTACACATGCACAAAAAGGCGAGGATAAAAATGGTCATTGCAGTATCAGTTAATTGTCAAGAAGAAGTGGAAATAAGCTAACTGTTGTTAAGTAAAATGGATAAATAAAGTATGGTTTGTTCTTATAATGGGATACTATACGGCAGTTAAATGAATTATAGACATATTTAGCAATGTAATGAGTAAGAAACTTGCAAAAATGGATGTTGTATGATATTATTTGTGTGAGTTTTAAAATACACAAAACAGTGGTATATGTTTAGGAAAGCAAACATTTTTTAAAAGTGCAAAGTACGCATGGGAATAATTCCCAACAACTTTAGAATGATAATTACTACAAGGAAGGAGAGAAATGGGATGGGCGTTAACCGAATTTGTAATCCATTTTTTTTATTTTTAATTTTAAAGAAAAGTGATACAAAGCAGGCGATGCAAAGGTGAGGATTTGCTTAACTGGGTTGCTGTGATCATGAAATGAGCCAATCAATGGGACAGTGCTGAATGAAAGTTGTTGCCAGTCTCTTTAGAAGGGTACAATGATGGTGGCTGTGCAGGTGGAGAGATGTGATTTCCTGACCTATTCTCTCCTCCGCCCTGTGTTGAGTCTCACGCCTCCTATTGGACGGTATAAATTGGTATAAATCTTTTTTTTTTTTTTTTTTTTGAGACAGAGTCTCACTGTCACTCAGGCTGGAGCGCAGTGGCATGATCTCAGCTCACTGCAACCTCCGCCTCCCAGATTAAAGCGATTCTCCTGCCTCAGCCTCCTGAATAGCTGGGATCACAGGCAGCCGCCACCATGTCCAGCTAATTTTTGTATTTTTAGTAGAGACGGGGTTTCACCATGTTGGTCAGGCTGGTCTCAAACTCCTGACCTCGTGATCCGCCCGCTTTGGCCTCCCAAAGTGCTGGGAACAGGCATGAGTGACCACGCCCGGCTGATATAAATCTTAACAGCTACATGCCCCAATTTCCTCACCTACAAAATGTGTATATTCAAAGTGCTACCTAATAGCATTGTCGTGAGAGTAAATAAGTTGTGTGAAGTGCTTTAGAACACTTACCTGGCTTAGAGTAACTGCTCTAGGCTACTGTTTTTGTTGTTGATGCTGTTATTATGGTTGTTGTTAGGTATCACCTCCAGCTGCATATAAACTCTTTTTTAATCTCAACTTCTAAAAATCTCATAAGAACCTTACTTGGCAACGAAAGTGCCCCAAAACTGAGAAGACCCAGACTCTTCCTTCAATGATCTAGATCAATTTGCACCTCAAATTCCTGTAAGGGCCAGGCAAGTAATGTGCCAAGTGCCAAGGGAAGGCTATAACAGGCTGGAGGGCACCCTCCCCTCCTAGAGGGGCAGCAGCTCCTGGTCCAGCGTTGCCGCATAGGAATTCAGAGCTGGCACTGCCGTGATAAATTGAAAATCTCAATTTTTCTGTAAAATCACTCTTTTTATTTTTCCTTTTTTTTTTTGGCAGGATCTCACGTTGTCACCCAGGCTGGAGTACAGTGCCATGATCCCAGTTCACTGCAGCTTTGACCTCCCAGGTCCAAGTGATCCTCCCATCTCAGCCTCCCAAATAGCTGGGACTACAGGTGTGTGCTGCCACACCTGGCTAATTTTGTATCATATACATATATATATAAACATACACATACACATATGTATATATACATGTATACATATGGGTTCAAGCATTCTTCTGCTAATTTTTTGTATTTTTAGTAGACGTGGGGTTTAACCATGTTGGCCAGGCTGGTCTCGAACTCCTGACCTCAAGTGATCCACCCGCCTTGGCCTCCCAAAGTGCTGGGATTACAGGCATGAGCCATCGCACCCAGCTAATTTTTTTAGTTTTTGTAGAGAGATGGTCTCACTATGTTGTCCAGGCTGGTCTCAAATTTCTGAGCTCGAGTGATCCTCCCACCTCAGCCTCCCAAAGTGCTGGAATCTCAGCCATGAGACACGGCATCTGGACAAAATATAAATGATAATGAATACACATCAATATTTTAAATCAAACACATTTAGATAAAGCTGACTTTTTGCCTGCTTTTTTTTGAAATTTTGGGCTGGGCCCAGTAGCTCACACCTGAAATCCCAGTGTTTTGGGAGGTCAAGGTGGGCAGACTGCTTGAGCCCAGTGTTTTGAGACCCCCCTGGGCAACATGGTGAAATGCCATCTCTACAAAAAATAGAAAACTTAGCCGGGCATGGTGGCACACATATGTGGCCTCAGCTACTCTGGAGGCTGAGGTAGAAGGATTGCCTGAGCCTGGGAGGTTGAGGCTGTAGTGAGCCATGATTGTGCCACTGCACTCCAGCCTGGTGACAGAGTGAGACCCTGTCTCAAAAAAATATATACATATTTATTAATTTTTATTATGTATTGCTATGGCATAAATGTTTGTGCCCCCCTAAAATTCATAAATTGAAACCTAATCCCCAATGTGGTGATATTAAGAGATGGGGCCTTTAGAAGGTGATTAGGTCATGAGGGGCCTGTCCTCATGAATGGGATTAATGCCGTTATAAAAGAAGCCCAGGCTGGGTGTGGTGGCTCATGCCTGTAATCCTAGCACTTTGGGAGGCTCAGGCGGGCTAATCATTTGAGGTCGGTAGTTCAAGACAAGCCTGGTCAACATGGAGAAACCCCATCTCTACTAAAAACAAAAATTAGCCAGTCATGGTGGCAGGCATTTGTAATCCCAGCTATTCAGGAGGCTGAGGCAAGAGAATCACTTGAACCCTGGAGGCAGAGCTTGCAGTAAACCGAGATCACGCCACTGCACTCTAGCCTAGGTGACACAGCGAGACCCTGTCTTAAAAAAAAGAGGCCCAAAGGAGCTTGTTTGCCCCTTCCACCCGTGAAGATGCAGCAAGAAGGCGCCATCTATGAAGCAAAGTGTGCCCTCACTGGCTACCAAATCTGCTGGCACCACCTGCTTGGACATTCTAGCCTCCAGAACTGTAAGCAGTGTTTATTATTTATAAATTGCTCAGTGTAAGGTATTTTGTTATAGCAGTCTGAATGGACTAAGACAGATAGTTTTATAAAAATTAAACTACAGTTGGCATTTTGTATCTGTAGGTCCACACCTATGGATTCAACCAACTGAAGAATAAAAATATTTTTAAAATATATATGGCCAGTCCGGGCGCGGTGGCTCACGCCTGTAATCCCAGCACTTTGGGAGGTCAAGGCGGGTGGATCACAAAGTCAGGAGATCAAGACCATCCTGGCTAACGCGGTGAAACCCCATCTCTACTAAAAATGCAAAAAAATTAGCCGGGCATGGTGGCGGGCACCTGTAATCCCAGCTACTTGGAAGGCTGAGGTAGGAGAATGGCGTGAACCTGGGAGGCAGAGTTTGCAGTGAGCTGATATCCTGCCATAGCACTCCAGCCTGGGTGACACAGCAAGACTGTCAGAAAGAAAGAAAGGAAGGAAGGAAGGAAGGAAGGAAGGAAGGAAGGGAAGGGAAGGAAGGAAGGAAAGAAAGAAAAAATAATACAAATAAAAAATACAGTATAACATATATTTATACAGCATTTACATTGCGATAGGCACCATAGATAACCTAGGGATGATTTAAAGTATGTGGAAGAATGTGCATAGGTTATATGCAAATACTATGCCATGTTATACAAGGGGTTTGAACATCAGTGGGGGTTTTGGAATCAATCCCTGGTGAATACTGAGGATGATTGTATTCATAATCTCGTATTCAATGTCCATCTATTACAACATAGAGAATCAATATCATACTTCACAAGAGTTATATCTAGACCTACATGTATTCAATTTTTTTTTCAATAGGCTTTTGGGGAACAGGTGGTGTTCAGTTACATGAATAAGTTATTTAGTGGTGATTTCTGAGATTTTGGTGCCCCCATCACAGGAGGAGTGTACACTGTAAATGTGTAGTTTTTTATCCCTCACCACCCCTCCCACCACATGCATATAAATTTAACAGTAATAAGGATTGTTTAATACAGCAACATGTTCCTCAGCTATCCTTTGCAACTGTTGTAAATGCAGCACAACATACATCCATACCTCTAAAACAAAGAGAAACAAGAAAAACCACACTCAACACTATTGGGAAATGATACTTTGTCATGCTATTTGAGAGGTAATATTTAACAAGCTGGTTAAAGTGATTTCACTTACATGTTTCCACTGCTTAAATCCTCCCTACACTCCAAAGCAGTACATGCTTCAGAATCCAGGCAGAGGCACAACCTCAGATTTTCACAGAATTGGCTATAGTCATCTTTTGTTTCCAGGATACAGGGCAAGAGATTACAGAAGTCACCATTCCCCAGGGCTTGAACGGCGTTGATTACAAGAGCAGATGTGTAAGATTTCAGGTTGTGCTGTTCCAGCACTGACAGCAGATCAGTGACAGAGGTGCCCAGGTGTCATGTAATAAATGTGTGTGATAAGTTGTTTGTGATAGGTGAATCCCCCTAAAGTATGTGGGCCAGGGCAGGGCCCCTGTGGTTCAGATCTGAGGATGATACTGCTTCTGTGGGAAGATCATGACTTCTGTTTCAAATATGCTAAGTTAAGCTGGGCACCGTGGCTCATGCCTGTAATCCCAGCACTTTGGGAAGCTGAGGCAGGTGGATCACCTGAGGTCAGGAGTTTGAGACCAGCCTGGCCAACATGGTGAAACCCCATCTCTACTGAAAATACAAAAAGTTTGCCGGGTGTCGTGGCGGATGCCTGTAATCCCAGCTACTCCGGAGGCTGAGGTAGGAGAATCACTTGAACCCAGGAGGCGGAGGTTGCAGTGAGCCAAGGTCTTGCCACTGCACCCCAGCCTGGCCAACAAGAGCGAAACTCTGTCTCCCAAAAAAAAAAAAAAAAAAGCTAAGTTAGTAATACCTTTGGGACATCCAAGTAGGGATGCCAGGCAGGAAGGTGGTCAAATCTGGAGATTTGAGGCAAGAGATAAATTTGAGAGTAACCAGCTGATGGGAACTGAAGCCACAGGACAGGTGTGATCCCCTAGAAGGAAAGGGTAGCATAAGAAGAGGAGGGTCCAGGACCGACCTCTCTTGATGAACTCCAATATGACCAGGTGATTTCAGTCAAAGGCGGAGTGAGCCGGCTGAGGGGTGGAAGAGCAGCCGATGGAGGGATGGGAGGAAGCCAGAAGAGGCCAAATCCTGGAGGCCAAAAAACGACAGTGTTTCAAGAAAGAACTGGCCAGCAACGTCAGCTACTAGTGGCAGTTCAAGTAAGAAGAAAACGAAACAATGGACTTAATGACATAAAGTTCATTGCAAAAAAACATTTGAGTAGCAGCAAGGTAGAGATAAACACCAGCCTGAAAGGGTCGAGCAGTGAGTGGAAGTGAGAGAATTTTGCCCAGTTTTTTTATTATGAAAAATTTCAAACATACAGAAAACTTGAAAATATAATACAATATTGTTTGTATGTCGATCATTTTACTTAGATTTAACAATTGTTATTTATACATATATACAAATATTTATATATTATATATATACAAACATATATATATACACACACATATATATATGGTTCTTTTTTTTTTTTTTCCAAGACAGGGTCTCACTTCATCGCACAGGGTGGAGTGCAGTGACCTGATCATAGCTCATCTCAGCTTCAAACTTTTGGGCTCAAGCGATCCTCCCACCTCAGCCTCTCAAGTAACTGGGGCCACAGGTGCATGGCACCATGCCCGGCTAATTTTTAAATTTTTTGTAGAGACAAGGTATCGCCTTGTTGCCCAGCTGGTCTCAAACTGGACTCAGGTGATCCTCTTGCTTTGGCCTCCCAAAGTTCTGGGATTACAGACATGAGCCACAGTGCCAAGGCCTATATACGTCTTTGTGGGCTTGTTTTTAGTTTTTTGTTTTGAGATGGAATTTCGCTCTTGTTGCCCAAGCTGGAGTGCAATGGCGCGATCTCGGCTGTACGCAACCTCCGCCTACTGGGTTCAAGCAATTCTCCTGCCTCAGACTCCCGAGTAGCTGTGATTACAGGCATGCGCCACCACGCCAAGCTAATTTTGTATTTTTACTATAGATGGGGTTTCTCCATGTTGGTCAGGCTGGTCTTGAACTTCCGACCTCAGGTGATCCGCCTGCCTCAGCCTCCCAAAGTGCTCGGATTGATTACGGGCATGAGCCACTGTGCCCAGCCCTTTTTTTTTTTTTTTAAACATAGAAATTGTTGAGTGACTACTAAAACATTCTTGGACCATATGAAAATATAGGAAAGCATGTGCTTCACACCTAAGTACCTCAGCATGCATCTCCCAAAAATAAGGAGATTCCATAACCACAATACGTAATCACAGCTAAGAAAATAATGATCATGGCCAGGCACGGTGGCTCACACCTGTAATCCCAGCATTTTGGGAGGCTGAGGCAGGAGGATCACAAGGTCAACAGATTGAGACCATCCTGGCCAATATGGTGAAACCCCGTCTCTACTAAAAATACAAAAATTAGCCGGGCGTGGTGGTGCATACCTATAATCCCAGCTACTTGGGAGGCTGAGGCAGGAGAATTGCTTGAACCCAGTAGGGACAGGTTGCAGTGAGCTGAGATTGCGCCACTGACCTCCAGCCTGGTGACAGAGCAAGACTCAGTCTCAAAAAAAAAAACAAAATTAGAAAATAACGATCATTTCTTCACTTCATCTGATAGCAGAATATACTCAAATATTCCCCAGTTAGCCTCAAAATGTCTTTTATATATATATTTATATATATATATCTTTCTTTTTAATTTCTTTCCTTCCTTTCTTCTGTTTTTCCTTCCTTCCTTCCTTCCTTTCTCTCTCTCCTCCCTTTCCTTCTTTCTTTTTTGACTGGGTCTCACTGTCACCCAGGCTAGAGTGCAGCAGTGCAATCACAGCTCACTACAACCTCCACCTCCCAGGCTCAAGTGATCCTCCCACCTCAGCCTCCTAAGTAGCTGGAACTACTATTTAGGTGTGACCCACCACACCTGACTAATTTTTGTATTTTTTTTTTTTGTAGAGACAGGGTTTTTCTCTGTTGCCCAGGTGGGTCTTGAACTCCTGAGCTTAAGTAATCCACCTGCCTTGAACTCCTGAGCTCAAGCAAAGTGCTGGAATTACAGGCGTGAGCCACTGCATCCAGCCTATGCATATATTTCAAATCAGGATCAAATCAAGGTACATGCGCTGCATGCATTGTGTTCCTCTTGGAGGGGTGTGGATCTGGTGACAGATGGTTGAGGGAGCTCACCTCTGATGACTTTCATTTTCTCTGTGACATAAGAGGGAGGTCATCAAGTGAGCATGAGGTGAGAGACAGAAGAGCCTCAGAGGTTCAAGGATCAGGGAGGTTTAACGTAGCCATTGACCAGAGTGATGTGGTTGGGCCACTAAACAATTCTGGGAGCCTCCTTAGAGTTCATGATCATGAGTGAGGAGTGGGAACCATTTCCTGATTGTGTGATTTCCCCCACCACCACCAACAGTTCTTGGCTATCAGAGTAAAATCCTGAAGAAAACAGATCACTGGGCTCATCCAGGGTTGGGGTTTTGCCACTTGGGTACAAAGGATGAAAATACAGAGGGGAAGGGGAGTTGGCGATATTGTCCAGAGAGGTGTTGAAATGAAGGGTTGTGGAGTTGAGCTGAATAGGGAGGGGCTCATAAGCTGGAAGACGGAAGGCATCATTGATCCAAAGGTCCTAGGAGACTGAAAATTGGTTGCGAGGAGGGCAGACAGACTGATGGACAGACGGTTAGGAGGTGGGGGCCAAGAGCAGGCTGCTTGACTGATTCTCAAGGAGGGGCTCTTTCAGGTGATAAGGTCCAGGGTATGACAATGAGAATGTGTGGCCGAGTTGGAGAGGAGAAGATTCTTGGGGATTAAGTGGCCAGGTTATTGAGAGGTCAAGTAGGGAATGGATCCTCCAGGTGGACAATGAAGTCTCCCAGAGGGAGGACTCAATGCAAAGACAGACGGTCAGCTGGGCCAGCGTTCCCCTGAGTGAGGTGGAGGGGTCTGGCAGACAGTAGCAGTGAGAAAGGAAGAGGAAAGTTTAGCCTAATTGCAGTGCCTGGAAGGCCGCGGGTTATTTTAAACTAGAGTTGGGGGCTGGGGGAGGAGTAGTCCGGAGGCAGCAATCTGAAGCCAGGAGAGCACCCTCAGCTGTAAGAAAATCAACAGCTCTCATTTCAGAAGCCTGCAAAGGAGGTAGTGCCCTCAAGGGAGAGTTAAATTTCACTTAACGCCAGGAAGTGGAGGGAATGCTCCAAGGAGAAGCTAAGGGTATGAGGGGGGCTGCAGTTTATTAGAGGGCACAGGCAGGTTAGGGAGGGGGAAAGTGGAGGGCTGAGTCAGAGCCAGAAGGTACAGAGTGTCATGGAGACACAGTGCAATAGAGTAGGTGGGCTTGGGAGTTTATGTTTTCACTATGAAATGATAAAAACAAGGACAGGAGGCAGGCTGGATTTCACCCAGTTAGTTTCTTGGAAGCTGTAAAAAGTGGCGTTTAAGAATGTAGCCTTGGCCAGGCACGATGGCTTATGCCTGTATCCCAGCACTTTGGAAGGCCAAGGCAGGCGGATCGCTTGAGGTCAGGAGTTTGAGACCAGCATGGCCAATATGGTGAAGCCCCGTCTCTATTAAAAATAGAAAAAACAGCCAGGAGTGGTGGCAGGTGCCTGTAATCCCAGCTACTCGAGAGGCTGAGGCAGGAGAATTGCTTGAACCCGGGAGGCGGAGGTTCCAGTGAGCCAAGATCACGCCACTGCACCACTCCAGCCTGGGGGACAGAGCAAGACTCGTCTCATTAAAAAAAAAAAAAAAAAGAATGTAGCTTCAGGCGGGGTGCAATAGCTCACGCCTCTAATCCCAGCACTTTGGGAGGCCAGGAGTACAAGACCAGCCTAGCAAACATGGTGAAACCCCATCTCTACTAAAAAAAATACAAACATTAGCCAGGTGTGGTGGTATGCACCTGTAATCCCAGCTACTTGGGAAGCTTAGGTAGGAGGATGACTTGAGCCCAGAAGGTGGAGGTTGCAGTGAGCCAAGATGGTGCCACCACACTCCAGCCTGAGCAACAAAGCCAGACCCTGTCTCAAAAAAAAAAAAAAAAAGAAAAGAAAAGAAAGAAAAGGAAGGAAGGAAGGAAGGAGAGAGAGAGAAAGAAAGAAAAGATAAAGAAATAAAGAAAGAAAGGCAGGCAAGAAAGTGGCTTCTAAAGCAGAACTAGCTGCATTCCAATTCCAGCTTTGTCATGCACTAACTGTCCTGTCTATAACCTTGGCAAGGTCTCTGGGCATCAATTTCCTCTCTGTAAAATGGGGATAACACTAGTACCCACCTCACAGGGTTGCTGTGACAATTCAAAGATGCAATGTGTTAAATGTTGATATGGTTTGGATCTGTGTCCCCACCAAATCTCATGTAGTCCCAGTGTTGGAGGTGGAGCCTGGTGAGAGGTGGTTGGATTATGGGAGTGGATTCTCACGAATGGTTTAGCACCATCCTCCTGGTGCTGTTCTCATGATAGAGAGTTCTGGCAAGCTCTGGTTGTTTAAAAGTGTGCCGCACCTCCTCCCTCTCTCTCGGCTCCTGCCATGTGAGAAGGCTCGCTCCTCCTTTGCCTTCTGCCATAATTGTAAGTTTCTGGAGACCTCCCCAGAAGGCAAGCAGATGCCAGCATCATGCTTCCTGTACAGCCCACAGAACCATGAGCCAATTAAACCTCTTTTTTTTTTTGAGATAGGGTCTTGCTCTGTCGCCCAGGCAGTGGCGCAATCACAGCTCACTGTAGCCTCTACCTTCTGGTCTGAAGCAATTCTCCCACCTCAGCTCCCCAAGTAGCTAGAACCACAAGCACATGCCACCATACCCAGCTAAGTTTTGAATTTTTTATAGAGACGGGTTTTTGCCATGTTGCCCAGGCTGGTCTCAAACTCTTGAGCTCAAGTGATTAACCCTCCGGCCTCAGCCTCCCAAAGTGCTGCTAGGATTACAAGCATGAGCCACTGTGCCCAGCAAACATCTTTTCTTTTCTTTTTTTCCGAGACGGAGTCTTGCTCTGTCACCCAGGCTGGAGTGCAGTGGCATGATCTTGGCTCACTGCAACCTCTGCCTCCCCGGATCAAGTGATTCTCCTGCTTCAGCCTCCCAAGTAGCTGGGATTACAGGTGCTGGCCACCATGCCCGGCTAATTTTTGTATTCTTAGTAGAAACGGGGTTTCACCATATTGGCCAGGCTGGTCTCAAACTCCTGACCTCAAGTGATCCACCTGCCTCAGCCACCCAAAGTGCTGGGACTACAGGCATGAGCCACCGCGCCCGGCAACCTCTTTTCTTTATAAGTTACCCAGTTTCAGGTATTTCTTTATAGCAGTGCGAGAAGGGACTAATGCAAATGTTTACAACAGTGCGCAAATATTTATAACAGTGCTTGGGCTGTCACCTCAGACACACTTGGTGGAGCCTTGCAGGCCCAGCAGAGCAGCCTCTTTGATTACCTGAACCCTGCCCCTGGCTAGGTAGGAAACATGAAGTGGATGATAATGATGACTTGATGAGCAGTTGTGAATGCATAAATTATATGGAGACACTAAGGACTGCAACAGACAAGAAGATCTCAGTGACAAACGGGTTATTTAGGGCAGCAGCCAACTGACTCCCACAATGAGTGGGATCTGGACAAGAAGGCGTGGTTTCCCAAGGCCACTGAAGGTTTCATTGCTACATACCCAGCCAAGTGTGGCTTTTCTAATGGTGGGGCATCTAGCTCTCCTGCAAATGTACAAAATGTCAATGCTAGGAATGCAGAATTTCTGCAAAGAAAACCCCCCAAACCCACTGATCCTAAAAACAGGGGAGATAAAAGAAAAATGGAATGAGGATAATTTCATGTTGAAGAAGACAGAAATACAAATGTCTATATATCTGGTTTGCCTCCAGGAGAAATCCTCAGAAGACTTCAAAGTCAAGCTTTATGAAGATGATCAAAGAAATCTTAAAGGAGATGCGCTTTGCTGTTACTTGAAGAGGGAATCTGTGGGCCTTCCATTAAAGCTTTTGGATGAAAATGAAATTAGAGGCTGTAGGCCAGGTGCAGTGGCTCACGCCTGTAATCCAAGCACTTTGGGAAGCTGAGGCAGGTGGATCACCTGAGGCCAGGAGTTTGAGACCAGCCTGGCCAACATGGCAAAACACCGTCCCTATTAAAAATACAAACATTAGCCGGGCATGGTGGTGCATACCTGTAGTTCCAGCTACTCAGGAGGCTGAGGCAGCAGAATCGCTTGAACCCTGGAGGCAGAGGCTGCAGTGAGCCGAGATCATGTCATTGCACTCCAGCCTGGGCAACAAGAGTGAAATTCCATCTCAAAAAAAAAAAAAAAAAAAAAAAGAGGTTACAAGAAGAAGCTGTCACTACAACAAAAGCTGTTGGTCTGGGGATCTGCAAGGGAGCTGGGCCATCCAGAAGGTACCATAAGCAAGTTGTCATAATCAAACATATGTTTCATCCTATGGATATTTTTGGTTGTTTTGTTTGTTTTCTGAGATAAGGTCTCACTATTGCTCAGGCTGGAGTACAGTGGCGTGATCACAGCTCACTGTGCAGCCTCAACCTCCTGGGCTCAAGGAATCCTCCTATCTCAGCTTCCCAAGTAGCTGGGACCACAGGTGTACACCACCATTCCTGGCTAATTTTTTTAAAAAAATTTTTGTAGGCCGGGCATGGTGGCTCACACCTGTAATCCCAGCACTTTGGGAGGCTGAGGCGGGTAGATCACGAGGTCAGGAGTTCGAGACCAGCCTGGCCAACGTGGTAAAACCCTGTCTCTACTAAAAATACAAAAATTAGCTGGGCATGGTGGTGGATGCCTGCAATCCCAGCTACTCGGGAGCTGAGGCAGAGAGTCGCTTGAACCCTGGAGGCGGAGGTTGCAGCGAGCCGAGATTGCACCACTGCACTCCAGCCTGGGCGACAGAGTGAGATTCCGTCTCAAAAAAAAAAATTTTTTTTTGTAGAGAAGGTGTCTCACCATGTTTCCCAGGCTGGTCTTGAACTCCTGGGCTCAAGAGATCTGCCCCTTGGCCTCCCAAGGTGTTGTAGTCACAGGCATGGGTCACTGCACCCGGCCCATCCTGTGGATTTTAAGGATGATGAGTTGGTGCTAAATGAGCTCAGAGAACTTTCAGTGCTCAACATTGAGACCAATGAGGAATGTTTTGTTTGACAGACTCATGGATGGTGTGGACTCTGTGTTCTGGAGGAATGCAGAGGAAACGGATTATTATATTCAAGTCCTCCTTGGAAGGTGGTTTGTTGACCCAGACATGGAATAAGGTTACAGACTATTAGGTTCAGGGGACCTCAGGAAAAAGGAGGAAAATCTAAGGGGATGGGAGGCTTTCCTCAGTGCCTGTGAGGCCAACAGACACTTTCAATCTCCAATGTGTGTATGCTTCAGAAAGGGCAAGATGTTGGCTGTCCTTTCACTCTCCACCAGCTGAAATGTGGTCTCTTCCCATTATCGCCATTCTGACCACTCTTCCCAAGTCACAGACACTTCTCAGATGCCAAACCCAAAAGGCGTGGCTGAATTCATTTGCATCAACTCAGGCAATGAATTTGGGAGGAGAGTTCGCTTGTCAGAACGTAAGAACGTCACATTTTGCAGTTGGTAATGTGGAGTCTAGGGACCCTTGGAATCACTTCCCTAGCTGATCGCCAGCACACCCTCTTTCATTCATTCAATCACACTTTAGCTTAGGTGCAGCTGGGAAGGGACTTCGCGGATGTAATTAAAGTCACAAATTGGTTTATCTTGAGGTAATCCAAAGGGAGACTGTGCAGGAGAGGTCTGACTCAATCACATCCAAAGCCTTCAGTGGTGGCTGGAGAGGAGAAAACACATTTCTGCACTTAGGAACCTCCTTTCTCACCTCAATTCTAGCAGCTCAGATGAGGTGTCAGCTCCCTGCAGGCTCTGGATGAGTCCGTGGGGCCACAGAAAAAAGAACTGCAGAAAACTCAGGAATAAAAATGGAGACAGTGACACTTCCAAGTAAAACTACTAGAAGTCTTCAGAAAGTAAGGCAAGAAAAGGAAACTTGAGGACCAGAGAAGCTGCCAGGCCAGTTCATTAAGCCTTGGCTTGACCAGGAAATCCAGTGTTTTCTTGAAGGATGGAAAATCTGGAGATGAAGAATGGGAATCATGTACTGTCAAACGCAGTTGCCAAGGGGTTCAAGCCCAGGGGTGTGAAGAAGAGCTGAGACCTGCCTACAGATGCCAAGATTGCAGGGCTCATCCTGGACTATTAATGAGACCATCCAGAGGCCAAGGAGCTTACAGGGCTCACCTTTGGGGATACTGGCCCAGCAGTGCTGCAGATCCTACCCTGAGTAGAGTGACATGAGAACTGGGCTGGGGGAGTTGAGGAGAAAAGGAAGTCTCAAAGGCTCTGTGTGTTTGTGTGTGTGTGTGTGTGTGTGTGTGTGTGTGTGTCTGTGTGTGTGTGTGTAAACTGGAAATGGTTAAACTCCCCTGTGTGCAGTGGCATACCAAGCAGGGTGGAGTGGGGGGAGGAGGCTACACTGCAAGGGGTATTTTGTCACTAACATTTTTTTATAATTGCTGGTGCGCAGTATCAATAAAAAGTTGGCTTCAGGCTGGGCGCAGTGGCTCACACCTGTAATCCTAGCACTTTGGGAGGATGAGGTGGGCAGATCACCTGAGGTCAGGAGTTCAAGACCAGCCTGGCCAACGTGGTAAAACCCCGTCTCTACTAAAAACACAAAAATTAGCCTGGCGTGGTGGTGTGTGCCTGTAATGCCAGCTACCTGGGAGGCTGAGGCAGGAGAATCACTGGAACCCGGGAGGCAGAGGCTGCAGTGAGCCAAGATGGTGCCACTGCACTCCAGCCTGGGCCAAAGAGTCAGACTCCATCTCAAAAAAAAAAAAAAAAAAAAAAGTTGGTTTTAGAATTATTTTTAAATTCTCCACAGACAATACACCTTCTTATTACCTGCACCTGGAACAACCATCCCCACTCCCTGCCCATGGTAAGCTGCAGCCTGTGTGTCCTATGTGGGTAAACAGTCCAGCTCTACCAGATTGTAAATGGGGTTGGGGGGTCGGGGTAGAGGGCATGGCGAGTAAGGATTATTTTTCGCATAATAACAGTTTTATGCAGCATGGTTTTGTACAAGAGAAGTGTTTTCTAAATATTTGGCAAATAAATGAATAATTGAATTTGAGTAATAATGAAGAAAATATGAGCAGGAATTTTACAAGAAGACCTTTAGTTTAAACAAGAAGAAAGCAAGCCAGGCACGGTGGCTCATGCCTGTAATCCCAGCACTTTGGGAGGCTGAGGTGGGTGGATCACCTGATGTCAGGAGTTCAAGACCAGCCTGGCCAACATGGTGAAACCCCATCTCTACTAAATATACAAAAAAATAGCTGGGCATGGTGGTGGATGCCTGCAATCCCACCTACTTGGGAGGCTGAGGCAGGAGAATCACTTGAACCCGGGAGGCAGAGGTTGCAGTGAGCCAAGATTGTGCCACTGCACTCCAGCCTGGGTGACAGGGCAAGACTCCGTCTCAAAAAAAAAAAAAAAAAAGAAGAAGAAGAAGGCATTCCTAATTACCCTGGTTGTAAGATAATACAAAACAGGAAATGACAGCATCATTAGAGATTTAAGGTTTCTTAACTTTTTACGTCTAGGACAGGTTTTGGAAGTCTGGTGAAGTCTGTGGAGTGTCAGAATAATCTTCAACTGCATAAAGTAAAATAAATGGGATTACAAAGGAAAACAATCATATTGAAGTACAGTTGTCAAAATGAAACAAAATGTGTAAGAAGAAGATCTAGTGGTGAGTCTAACCACTACCACTAACTACAAAGTAACCGTGAGCATACATGACATTTTGAAATTTCTGCAACTACTGGAAGATGACACAAATGTGTAAATTCTATTAACAACAGTCACATGTACTACAAATACCGGTGTAGGTTTATTGCCTACATTTATCATTGGAGAAAATGCTAAATTTCAGTTAGAGATTAGTGAAAATGAAATGTAATTTTCTCCTATTTTTGTTTGCCCTTTGGGATCCTGGATGAAGAGCCCTGCATTACACTGGGCACAGTGGCTCATGCCTGCAATCCCAGCTACTAAGGAGGCTGAGGTAGGAGGATCGCTGGAGCCTAGGAAGTTGAGGCTACAGTGAGCCGTGATCGTGCCACTCACTGCACTCCAGCCTCGGCAATAGAGCGAAACCCAGAAAGAAGAAAGAAAAGAAAAGAGAGAGAGAAGGAAGGAAGGAGAAAGAAAGAGAAGAAAGAAGAAAGGAGGGAGGGAGGGAAGGAGGGAGGAAGGAAGGAAGGAAGGAAAGAAGGAAAGAAGGAAGGAAGGAAAGAAGGAAAGAAGGAAAGAAAAGAATGAAAGGCCAGGCACGGCAGCTTACTCCTGTAATCCCAGCACTTTGGGAGGCCAAGGCAGGTGGATCACCTGAGGTTGGGAGTTTGAGACGAGCCTGACCAACAAGGAGAAACCCCATCTCTACTAAAAATACAAAATTAGCTGGGCATGGTGGCACATGCCTGTAATCCCAGCTACTCGGGAGGCTGAGGCACGAGAATTGCTTGGCCCAGGGAGGTGGCAGTTGTGGTGAGCTGAGATCGTGCCGTTGCACTCTAGCCTGGGCAACAAGAGTGAAACTCCGTCTCAAAAAAAAAAAGAAAGAAAGAAAAGAAAAGAAAGAAAGAAAAGAAAGAAAGAAAGAAAGAAAGAAAGAAAGAAAGAAAGAAAGAAAGAAAGAAAGAAAGAAAGAAGAAAGAAAGAAAGAAAGAAAGAAAGAAAGAAAGAAAGAAAGAAAGAAAGAAAGAAAGAAAGAAAGAAAGAAGGAAAATAGCTCTGCATGAGAGCCAGTGATGTCTCAGAGTGGGAAGGAAGCCAGGTCAACATGTTGCCCCTACCAACAAGCCCTTAGGTTGACAGGAGGTGCCTCTCCCAGCTTTACATTCAGAGCCAACCTCCCCAGGAGGCTCTTTTCCATCCTAAGCCTTGTTTCAGGGATCAGGGAGTGGCAACTCTCCACATGCCTGCATGCTTCCATCTGAACCAATGTTGAAGGCTCTTCTACTATTCAAAGCCCCTAAGGATGTAACATTTGGAGAAAATATGCTAAAAAGACCTGGTACTCAGAGACAATTTTCTCCAAATGTTTGAATGGGAGCATCAAATGAGTCCCCAGCCTTGAAGGTTGGGTTGGTCTGGGGAGGAAAACTAATTGTCCTTTCAGCTCAGCTATATCATCAGTCCCAAGGCAGACGTTCAGAAGATTCTTTTCTAGTTCATAGGGAAAATGACACTTAATCCTATGAGAGCCCCAAAGGCAGAGGACATGGGATGTGGTATCAGGAACCTGGAAGACATGCTTTTGCAATGGGGTACACAGCACTTAAGTGAGGGAAACCACCAGGAAGTGGCACTGGCCCTGGAATTCCCTTCATGTCACACAGGGACAGAGAGGAAACTAACATTTTCTAAGGACTTATTCCATACCAGGGGCTGCACATTCTGTGTCTTATATCTATTACAAACTGTTTCTTCATAAGGCAGGTGATTTGTTTTTCTTTTCTTCTTTTCTTTCTTTTTTTTTTTTTTTTTGAGACAGGGTCTCCCTCTGTCACCTGGGCTGGAGTCTAGTGGTGCCATCTCGGCTCACTGCAACCTCTGCCTCCCCAAGCAATCCTCCTGCCTCTCAGCCTCCGGAGTAGCTGGGATTACTGGCATGCACCACCACACCCAGCTAATTTTTGTATTTTTGGTAGAGACAGAGTTTCGCCATGTTGCTCAGGCTAGTCTCGAACTCCTGTGCTCAAGTGATCTGCCCACCTCAGCCTCCCAAAGTGCTAGGATTACAGGCGTGGACCACCATGCCCTGCCTGTTTTGTGATCTGCCCGCCTCGGCCTCCCAAAGTGCTGGGATTACAGGCATGAGCCACCACGCCTGGCTAGTGCCTGTATGTGTGTATGTGTGTGTGTATGTATATATATATATATATATATATATATATATATATATATATATATATATATATACTTTTTTTTTTTTTTTTTTTGAGACAGAATCTTGCTCTTTTGCCCAGACTGGAGTGAAATGGTGTGATCTTGGCTCACTGCCAACTTCTGCCCCCTGAGTTCAAGCAATTCTCCTGCCTCAGCCTCCCAAGTAGTTGGGATTACAGGCACCTGCCACCATGCCTGGCTAATTTTTGTATTTTTAGTAGGGACAGGGTTTTGCCATGTTGGCCAGGCTGGTCTCAAATTCCTGACCTCAGGTGATCCACCTGCCTCAGCCTCCCAAGTAGTTGGGATTACAGGCGCCTGCCACCATGCCTGGCTAATTTTTTTATTTTTAGTAGAGACACGGTTTTGCCATGTTGGCCAGGCTGGTCTCAAATTCCTGACCTCAGGTGATCCACCTGCCTCAGCCTCCCAAAGTGTTAGGATTACAGGCGTGAGCCACCGCACCCAGCCTTTTCATATATATATATATATATATATACTTTTTTTTTTGAGACAGAGTTTCGCTCTTGTTGCCCAGGCTGGAGTGCAATGGCGCAATCTTGGCTCACCACAACCTCCTCTGGGTTAGGGCAATTCTCCTGCCTCAGCCTCTCGAGTAGCTGAGATTACAGGTATGTGCCACCATGCCTAGCTGATTTTTTATATTTTTAGTAGAGATGGGGTTTCTCCATGTTGGTCAGGCTGGTCTTGAACTCCAAAACCGCAGGTGATCCGCCCACCTCAGCCTCCCAAAGTGCTGGGATTACAGGCGTGAGCCACCGCGCAGGGCCTCTTTTCATATATTTTTAACTAAATTAATAAAACAGCTGGGGCAGTGGCTCATGCCTGTAATTCCAACACTTTGGGAGGCCGAGGTAGGAGATCACTTGAGCTCAGGAGTTCAAGACCAGCCTGGGCAACATGGTGAAACCTCGTTTACCAAAAAATACAAAAATTAGCCAGGTGTGGTGGCACATGACTGTAGTCCCAGCTATCCCAGAGGCTGAGGTGGGAGGATTGCTTAAATCCATGAGGTCGAGGCTGCAGTAAACTGTGATCATGCCACTGCATTCCAGCCTGGGTAACTGAGCAAGACTCTGTCTCAAAAAACTAAAAACTAGGCAGGCGTGGTGGCTCATGCCTGTAATCCCAGCACTTTGGGAGGCCGAGGCAGGCAGATCACATGAGGCCAGGAGTTTGAGACCAGCCCAGCCAACATGGCAAACATGTATTTCAGTGTCTACTGAAAATACAAAAATTAGCTGGATGTGGTGGTGCGTGCCAGTAATCCCAGCTACTCAGTAGGCTAAGCCAGGGGAATCGCTTGAACCCGGGAGGCAGAGGTTGCAGTGAGCCGAGATGGTGCCTCTGCACTCCAGCCTGGGCAACAGAGCGAGACCCTGTCTCAAAAACACAAACAAATAAAGAAAACTCCAAAAAACTGAAAAGTAAATAAATAAATAAAACAAAACAAAATGTGGAAGCAATAGCAAAGGCTTGACCTTGCTCCAAAATCACAGGTTTTTTTTAAGCTGTGTTCTTATAAACTTCCAAATGAGATGAAGATAAACTTCTGCTGAGAGGGGCATGGTCATGACTTACAGTTTGGGCAGGACAAAGTATTTTCCATCACACACACACACACACACACACACACACACACACACACACACTCACCTTCACACATACGGTGTTATTTCTACTAAGTTGTACTTGATTCTTCTCCAGTGGCTCTGTCTGGAGTTTATTTAATGTTACTAGTTTGCCAATGAATAGACTAAGACAATAAGCAATTTTGCTTTTATTTCTTTATTTTAAAAAACTGCTTGTTAGTCTTATGAGAAAACAAAGTGAAGAATAAAGGTAACTACTGCATGTACCACAGTAGCGAGAGAAAAAAGAGTGTCAATTAATCTAATTGATAGTCAGAGGATTGCATGGCTATTAGTGATGGAGTCGGGATTTGGGCACGTGTACATTTGTTGGATTTTGCAGCCTGGCATCTATATCCCATTTGTCTGGTGGCAAGATCCCATTTTTGCGTTGGGGCCATTATCCTCCAACATTGGGTAGTCTATGGTACTATTCCTCAAGGGACCCTCCCCTTCCTCAGATGAGTGTGAGCACCTGACCCACCCTAAGCCTATTGGAGTTCTCTCTTTTTGATCCAAAGTAGAAGCACTGACCATTGGTGTCTGCTGCCTGGATGCTGGAACTATCCTGGCTTCTGTCCTTTCCAAAGACCGCCTGTTCAGCTTTTCCTTCAGTTCTGTAAATATTTTTTCAATAATTTACTATTACTTATTAATCTGTTGCTTCTCTACAACCGGCTGCCTCCTCAGCTCCATGACTCCCAGCCTGGAGTCATAGAACAAAAGCTGAATGTGGGCACAGAAGGTTCAGCCACTGAGTGCCTATATGGTTTTGAACTCATTATTTGAAATTCAAGCTCATTACCTGAAACAGGAAGAACACCTCCTCATAAGGCTGGTATGTGAATTCAATTAGATGAAATATGTGCTCTCCGAGATCAAGGACTTTGATTTAGTCTCTGCTGAATCCGCAGTGCCTATCACAGAACACAGAGAAGAGCTTCAATAAATGTGTTGGTTTAATGACAACTGCTTCTGAAAACACTTTGTTAACGCTAGTACGTAACATGAATAGCTGTGTCCATTATGTCCAGGGTGAAGTCAGCCAATTTCGATTCTCCTCTCCTTAAAGTTTTGTCTTGCTTTCTCTTTCTTTCCTTGAATCTTCACACTAAATCTACTTTGTTTTTTAATTTTTTAAAAAGAGATAGAGTCTCACTCTGTCACCCAGGCTGGAGTGCAGTAGTGCAATCATAGCTCACTGCAATCTCTAACTCCTGTTCTCAAGCAATCCTCCTGCCTCAGCCTCACAACTAGCTGGGACCACAGGCATGGGCCACCATGCTTGGCTTTTTGCTTTTTTTTTTTTTTTTTTTTTTGGTAGAGATGGGTCTCCCTATGTTGCCCAGGCTAGTCTCAAACTCCTGTGCTCAAGATCCTCTGGCCTCTGCCTTCCAAAAGGATTACAGGCATGAGTCACCACCCTGGGCCTCTGACTACTTTATTTTAAAGCCCAGCCAATTTATATCTTTTTATTATTATTATTATTATTATTTTTGAGACAGAGTCTCACTGTCACCCAGGCTGGAGTGCAGTGGCCATCTCGGCTCATTACAACCTCCGCCTCCCAGGTTCAAGCGACTCTCCTGACTCAGCCACCCTAGTAGCTGGGATTATAGGCAGGCACCACCACGCCAGGCTAATTTTTGTATTTTTAGTAGAGATGGGTTTTCGCCATATTGGCCAGGCTGGTCTAGAACTCCTGGCCTTAAGGGATCTTCCCGCCTCGGCTTCCCAAAGTTCTGGGATCCCAGGTGTCAGCCACCTCGCCAGGCTGCTTGATATCTTAAAATCAGAAAAGCCACCCATCTTAAGTGGAGGGTGGGTGGGTCCATATTTACAGGAATGGAAGAAAGGAGGATGTTCCCTCTCTTTTGTCCACGTTCAGCAGCTCTGAAATTAATGCCAAGGCGAGCAAACGCCCGCCCCCCACCCCCTGCCGCCCTCGCCTTATGCCGAGACTTTGCTGTTGAACACGAAGTAAACGTTTCCCAGAAAGCCCAGTTTAAGAAACAATTCAGGGCGAGGTGAGGGCACAAAGGTAGAGAAATAAGGGGAAATGATATTTCTTTAAAGAACAGAGATCCCTGAATAGCACCGGGGGCCGTTACAGCCCATGAGGACATCTCCGAGTCCTTCTATATGACACTAGGGACCCCCGTGCCATATACAGACACTGTTCTCAGAGATTAGAAAGGGGAAAGAGGATATTGCCACAGTTCTGTCCTTCGAAATGACTCCAGATGCTTCTGAGTCTGTGAGGCCCCTGTGTCCGTCATCAGCAAAACAAGTGAGGGAGAAGTTTGAGGAGTGATGACCCTAGCAGTTATGGGTTTAAGCCTGGGAATCTTAAGCCACAGAGCAGAGGATTTGGGGGCTGAAGAAAAAGACCCTCCGCAGCTTCAGCGCGAAGAGGGCGGCGGGGACCGGGGTGGTGGGGGTGGAACCTCGCCGCCTTCCGAAGCAGGAGTAAGCTGCAGAGGCTGCGCGGGGGTTTGAGCGGAGCGAGAACAGCTCCTTCCCTTGATCATGCTGCCCTCCGGAGGTCAGTTTAGGTATCGCCGCTCCCTTTCACGCTGTTTTGTCTCTTCACCGTCTGTTCTGGATCATCCTGTCCAGAGAGACCGTTGGGTCAGAGGGTTCCTGTGGACCCCTGGGGCGAGCTTAATGTCCCCGAAAACTGCGTGCTCCAGTATCACTTGAATGCCCACCGGGTTCCGGAATCACGAGTCTCCAGAGCTGTCCCTTCGCCCCACGGCTCACATTCCAGGTCTGCCCCTCAGTGACTTCTGCAACAACACGCGCTTCTCGATCAGCTCTGAGGATTTGGGTTCTGCGACGGACAGGGGAAGGAAAGAAGGAAGGCTGTGAAGAACCGTGGTGCCTGCCTGCACAGCCCTCCTCGCGTGCGAGCATTAGTTGGCTAAAGTCGCCTGTCTCGACAGTCTCCCCTGCGGGGTATCTGGGGACCCTTTCTTTGGGAATCCACGCTCTTTGTCAGAGTAGCCAATGCCTCTCCTGTCCAAAATCTCATACCCTTGGCCCTTCTCCCGTCCTCGCGCTGAGGCTGGAGTCAGGTCAAATGTCAGAACATCTGGATGTCCCAAGAGTGACACCTGGGAGTGGGTGGGCAAGAAACCAGTAGCGGGAAGGGAAAGTGGAGGAGCAGAGGATTCCCGGGGCCGGCGTCTGGGGTGAGCTCGCGGCCCCTCAGAGCCTGGCACATCGCCGCCTGGCATCCGGCAGGCGTGAGGGAACGCATAGCGCAGCGAGTCAGGCGGGGTAAACCCGGAGCAACGCGGAGGCGGTGATCTGGGCAAGGGCGAGGTCAGTTAAGGACGCAGTTCTGGCCCCGCCCTCAAGGCACGCCTGGCCAATCAGGAATCGCTGATTCACCAAGCCTCTCCTCCTGCGCTCGCCCTCTTCTGCACTTCGGTCTCAGGCGCAAACACGTTCAAAGTCGCTAGGCCAAAGCGCTGAGATACGGTTTCCCAAGCCAATTAGAGAGCGGCTCTCGGATATGGGGCGGAACCCTGAAAAGGCGAGAGCTGAGATGCCGCTCCGTTCTGCCTTACCACGCCGCCCCCCAGCGTCCGCCAATTAGGAGAGCCCGGAGCCGGATCCACTCTCAGCCTCAGGAAGCAGCAGCCTCCGCTCCGCGGCGGGTGTGCTCGGCAGTCACAGACCCACTCAGGACACCTCCCGTTGCCGACGGGCTAGACCTGCATCCGAAGGGCCTAAGCGGGGAGGAACCGCTTTCCACCACTCTCCAGGGACCTGGGGAGGGAATGTTTAGGCCGTAGGGGTGGAGGACACAGGAAACGTAACATTTTTCCTTAACTGCGCCTCTCTTCTTAGGCCTTAAAGGGGTCCCCGTGTCTCTCCAGTCTAGAGCCTAAGTTCAAACGAGGCGTATAGGCGAGGACAGCAGGAAGGCTCCAAGTCAAACAAACGGATGGTACGAATTTCGCCTGGTCTAGCCCTGCCCCAACGGTGTGGGTGTGGGTTGGGTGCTGCAGCCCCCGAGCAAGGGGCTGTCACAGCCACAACCAGAGGAGCTATGGAGCTGCTACGGAGGAGGGATTCCAGAGTCAGCTTGGGCTTGTCCCAAGGGAGCCCTTGGGACAGTGTCTGGGGCTGCGCGGCCTGGTTCTCATCCCTTGCAGCATCTGCTATTTTAGCCAGGGGCCACCTTCCTCCAATGGCCTGGGAGTAGCTAGAGGTTAGAGGTTACACCCACCAGAAGGGATGTAAGCCCAGGAAGTAGTCAGAAAGGAAAGGTCATTCTAGAGATGGGGCCACCTGAAAAACCTTCAGGAGGAAGGAGAAAGGAAATGGGATAAGTGTCATGTCATACTAAATATTTATTTTCTGCAGACTGACTTCGGAGTAATTCTTGAGCCAGGAGGGGAGAGGTTAGTGTTCAAATTGCTGAGATCTTAGGTCAAAAAGCTACAGAAAAGAAATCACTTTGAAAAACACAATGACTCAGAGGCAGTCACCCCTTGCCAGCAATTCCAAGAGCTGAGGAGGCTTCATGCCTCAGGACATGGTGACTAGTTGAGTGAACCAGAGATTGAGGCAGTGGTTTTTACAGGGGAAGAAACAAGCCTTGGGTGTATGGGAGCAGGAAAGGAGGGTGACAGACTGGAGAAATGATAAAGGCCATTTTGGAAGCCCACAGGGAAGTGGTCTTGGGAAACCTGAAGACACTGGGATATTCAGAAGGCCAAGGGGATCCAGCTTATCCTGTTGGGCAAGGTGCTGGGAGTGAAGGCAGGTAAGCCATGTCAAGGGCCTGGGAAGCAAGGGGAAAACTGGAAGGGGTACCCCAGGTGAAGAAGGGTATGGAATGGGGTGCAGAAGTCCATGGAGATGACCGGCAGATCTCAGGGCGGTTTCTGGCACATCAGAAGTTGGGCTTATGCTTCTTGAGCTCCACCATAAGGTGGTGAATGTTGATGAGCTCAGCCCGGGCAGGGAGGGCTCGGAGCTGCGGCTGGGACAGCACCCGGTGGAAGCGATGATAGAGCTGGATCAGCTGGGTCAGCGCTCCCTGGTCAAAGAAAGTCATTGAGGGATCAAACCGTAAAATGGTGCTAATAGTGATGATTAAGAATCAGGTTAGGCGGCCAGGCGCAGTGGCTCACACTTGTAATCCCAGCACTGTGGGAGGCCATGGCGGGCAGATCACGAGGTCAGGAATTCGAGACCAGCCTGGCCAACACAGTGAAACCCCATCTCTACTACAAATACGAAAATTAGCTGGTTGTGGTGGCAGGCACCTGTAATCCCAGCTACTTGGGAGGCTGAGGCAGGAAAATCACTTGAACCTGGGAGGCAGAGGTTGCAGTGAGCCGAGACTGTGCCACTGCACTCCAGCCTGGACAACAGAGCTAGACTCTGTCTCAAAAAAAAAACAAAACAAACAAACAAAAAAGAATCAGGTTAGGGCTCATACAGAACTTTGGGCACAGCTAGTAACTGAAGACCAAGGGTCACTTAGATGATGCTGAGCCCAGCAAAAAGATGGGGAAAATAATTAATGATGGGGGATCTGAGTGGGGCCTGGGACTTGCAGGTCACCTGAATGATACTGGTGCCATTTCTGAAGTTGGTGAAACTCCGCATTACATCCTGACTCAGAGATTCCACTGATGATTTCCAGGAACTACCAAAGCCACGGATCAGCTGAGTTACCCGGGCTAATAGCAGGAGGAAACAGTGTCAGAGAGGGATCTGGCTGATCTTCAACTCCACTAAGTTCTCCCCAAGGTATAGCCATCCTTATCATCAAACCCTCTTTTCTGGTATTCTCTCAATCCAGTCTTTCATACTCTATTCCCCCACCATGTAATCTGCATCCTTTCATTTTTCTTTTCCACTTCCCTTACCACTGATCCCATCATTACCATATTTTCCTCATACCTTCTTCCCCTCGAAGTCGCTCAGCCTGTCCACGCTCAATCAAAGCCTCAGCCTCCTTCACAAATGCCACTAAACCCCCAAAAGGGGGAGACAGCAACTCTTCAATGAATTCCTGGAAAGACACAAACACATATACACAGGTGTCCTGGTGTCAGCAGATTTGCCCAATTCTGGCATCATGACTAATGTAGATCCATCTGAATGGCATCTTTCAGCTGCTGCAAAAGTTAAGGAAAATCCTCTATGGAGAAAAATATCCTCAATCCTAATTTTGGCCCATACAGTTCCCCTGGTTAAGATCAAACAATGAACTCAAAGATCACTAGACACAAAAGAAGGGCAGCTACCAAGAGAGTCAGCAGACACAATAAGCAATAGCTGCTGACCTTAAGAACTATCCGATACGGATAGCAGTTGTACTGTGTGCAATGTCTAAAGTTAAGGATAGGCCGGGCACAGTGGCTCACGCCTGTAATCCCAGCACTTTGGGAGGCTGAGGTGGGCAGATCACCTGAGGTCAGGAGTTCAAGACCAGCCTGGCCAACATGATGAAACCCCATCTCTACTAAAAATACAAAAATTAGCTGGGCATGATGGTGGATGCCTATAATCCCAGCTACTCGGGAGACTGAGGCAAGAGAATCACTTGAACTTGGGAGGCGGAGGTTGCAGTGAGCAGAGATCATGCCACTGCACTCCAGCCTGGATGACAGAGCAAGACTCCGTCTCAAAAAAAAAAAAAAAAAAGGATGTAAAAATGACCAATTAGTAAGAACTATGAGGAATGAACAGACTTGAAAAAAGGAAATTTTTTTAGATATGAAAAGCCAGTTTTAGAAAGTCAACAGATTAACAAGAATTATACAATGAATTAGAATTTATAACTGAAGAAAGGACTCAGAATGTAGCACAGACAGAAGATGGAAAATTTTGAGATAGTAGGAGATACAGAAATCTAATTAATGTATCTAGGCACTGAAATTGATGGCTACTAACATCACAAAGAGAGCCAAGAAGACATTATGTGCTTCCTGATGGAAATACATACCACTACCTCTCAAATATCCCTGTAGAAAAAAAAAAACTAATTTAAATCTGACCAAGCCTTTCCATCTAATTACACACTTATGAGAAATACACCAGACAGAGGAAGTTTGGCCACACCATGGAATGCAGTCAGCAAAATCTAAACTGTACATCATTCTAGATGACAAATGACTCAATAACTCAGTTTCTTCCAAAAATAAATTGCAGAGGAGATGGAAGGGAAATCTATAGACTAAAAAAAGACACATATATGGACTTTATATGGATCCTGATTTGAACCATAAAAATCATTTATGAAGGCCAGGCACAGTGGCTCATGCCTGTAATCCCAGCATTTTGGGAGGCTGAGGCGGGTAGATCACCTGAGGTCAGGAGTTTGAGACCAGCCTGGCCAACATGGTGAAATCCTGTCTCTACTAAAAATACAAAAATTAGCTGGGCGTGGTGGTGGGTGTCTATAATCCCAGCTACTCAGGAGATTGAGGCAGGAGAATTGCTTGAACCCGGGAGGCAGATGTTGGAGTGTGCCAAGATCGGGCCATTGCACTCCAGCCTGGAGGCAACAAGAGTGAAACTGTGTCTCAAAAAAAAAAAAAAAAAAATCACTTATGAAATAACTGGGAAAATCTGAATAGTTATTTTAGATAAGATAATTTTTTTAAGTGTGATAATGTATTGTAGTTTTTAAAACCATCTGTTACCAGGTGTGGTGGCACACACCTGTAGTCCCAGTTACTTAGGAGGCTGAGGTGGGAGGATCACTTGAGCCCAGGAGTTCGAGGCTGCAGGGAGTTATATCATGCTACTACACTCCAGCCTGGGCACTACAGCAAGGCCCTATCTCAAAAATAATTTTCTTAATAAAAATAACATTCTGATACAGATGAAGTGATAATATTCATCTGTATATGTATAAGATTTAATTCAAAGTAACTGGGGGACACAGAAGGAGGATAAGCAATAGGTGTTGGTATAGATGAAACAAAACTGTCCGTGAACTGCTATACACCGAATATCACTGATGATGCCTGGGGGTTCACTATGCTTTTCTAATAGCATAGTGAAATTTCCCATAATAAAATGTTAATTTTTGTTTAATGTAAAAGGGAGATTCAAACAAAAAAACTCATAAAAGCAAACAACCCAGACAGAAAGATCTGGTAAGAAGAAAGTGAAATTATTATTCCATTTAAAAATAAATTATTAATACTAAAATTAGCCAGGTGTGGTGGTGCATGCCTGTAACCCCAGCTACTCAGGGAGACTGAGGCAGAAGAATCACTTGAACCGGGAGGCAGAGGTTGTAGTGAGCCAAGATCATGTCACTGCACTCCAGCCTGGGCGACAGAGCAGCAACTTGTCTCAGTAAATAAATAAATAAATAAATAAATAAAAATTGTATCTTTTCTATTCTTCCCTCAAAATATTCACTTATATCCACTGAGGGTGTCAAATAACTAATATGCTGCAAGGAAGGATCTTTCTATAATCAAGGCATCTTTGTGATGTGATTTTGGACAGAGATTAAATAACCAAATTCAACCTATTACAGTTGCCTAAATGCAGTCTCACACACACATATACAAACAATAATGTAGCAGTGTACGGTGGGGCACAGGGAGTAGACTTGCCAAAGAAAAGTTGAACTAACAGTGATGACCCCTGCTAGGCAGGAGCCATAAATTATATAATGTGTTGTAAGCATGATATATACACCTGATTTTGAAGACTTCATCTTAGAATAAATTTTAAGTATATCTTTTTTTTCTTTTTTTTTTTCGGAAACAGGGTCTTGCTCCATCACCCACGCTGGAGTGCAGTGGCACAATCACAGCTCACTACAACCTCAACTTTCCTGGCTCAGTGATTATCCCACCTCAGCCTCCTGAGTAGCTGGGACTAACAGGCATGTGCCAACATGTCCCACTCATTTTTTTTTTATTTTTTGTAGAGATGGGTTTCACCATGTTGTCCAGGCTGGTCTCAAACTCCTGGGCTCAAGCGATCCTCCCTGCCTTGGCCTGTGCTGGGATTACAGGTGTGAGCCACCGTGCTGGCCTCAGTACTATTTTTTATTGATTATATGTTGAAATAATAATATTTTGGATGTAGTGGTTTAAAAAATTATTTCATCTGTTTCTCCTTACTTTTTAATGTAGCTTCTAGAAAATTTAAAATTATTTAAGTGGCTCACATTTGTGGCATGCATTATATTCCTATAGGAGTACTGGTCTGGACTTAGATGAACTTTAAGCTTTCTATAACGCAAAAGAGAACACCTTGATAGCAGAGGAGTGACCAGAGGAAACAGTGCACTGGGCTTTAACAATCTTTCCTACGTAGTATGAAGCAGCAGCTGACCAAAAAGGACCAGAAGCATTGATGGCAGCTGGCGAGTCTCTATACCTGGCAAATCCAGTGACAAATCCCAGCTGCTCTCAGCAGAAACAACTGGTTTAAGTGCATCTTTGTGGGTGCCTTAATCTCCTGCAATGATCCCGCCTCAGCCTCCCAAGCAGCTAGAACTACAAATGCATGCCACTACGCCTGGCTTTTTTTTTTTTTTTTTTAAAGAAATGGGGTCTTAGCCGGGCATGGTGGCTAACACCTGTAATCCCAGCACTTTGGGAGGCCAAGGCGGGCAGATGACGAGGTCAGATCAAGACCATCCTGGCTAACATGGTGAAACCCCCCGTCTCTACTAAAAATACAAAATACAAAAAAAATACCAGGCATGGTGCTGGGCACCTGTAGTCTCAGCTACTCGGGAGGCTGAGGCAGGAAGAATGGCATGAACCCGGGAGGCGGAGCTTGCAGTGAGCTGAGATTGCACCACTGCACCACTCCAGCCTGGGAGACAGAGGGAGACTCTGTCTAAAAAAAAAAAAAAAAAAAAGAAATGGAGTCTCACTATGTTGCCCAGGCAGATCCCCTCAAACTCTCAAACTCCTGGGCTCAAGAGAGTCTCCCATCTCAGCATCCCAAAGTGCTGGGATTACAGGCATGAGCCACAGCACCAGCAACAATTCTTTCAAAATCAGGAATATGAAAAGGGTTCTCACTATCACCTTTCTGTTCAACTTCTAAACATCATCCTGGGAGTGTTAGCCAGTAGAATAAGAAATCAAAAACATAAGATGTTAAAGACAAAAAACTAGAAAAGATTTATTTATTCCTAGTAGAACTAAACATACGTATTATACCCACCTAAAAATATGGCAAACGACTTACAGTGTCTTTGTGCTGAAAATTTAAAAAGGTTATCAAAAGACATTAAAAGACTCTCTTAAAAATTGGAGGAGGAGGCCAGGTGGAGTGGCTCACATCTGTAATCCCAGTTTAGTGAGACACTACAAAAAATTAAATTTTTAAATTTTGTATTCTCTACAGAAAAAAAAAAGCCAAGTGTGGTGCTGTGTGCCTCTAGTCCTAGCTACTCGGGAGGCTGAGACAAGAGAAGCACTTGAACCCAGGAATTCAAGGCTGCAGTGAGCTATGATTGTGCCACTGCACTCCAACCTGAGTGACAGAGCAAAACCTGTCTCAAAAAAAAAAAAAAGGATAGGGAGCCCATGATCATGATCATGGATAGGAAGTTTCAATATCATAAAGTATCAATTCTTCCAAATTAGTCTATAGACAATGTAATTCTAATCAAAATCCTTAAAGACTTTTTAAAATGTGAAAACTTTTCGAGACCAGCCTAGCCAACACGGTGAAACCCCATCTCTACTAAAAATACAAAAATTAGCTGGGTGTGGTGGCACATGCCTGTAATCCTAGCTACTCAGGAGGCTGAGGCAGGAGAATCACTTGAACCCAGGAGGCAGAGGTTGCAGTGCGCTGAGATTGTGGCCCTGCACTCCAGCCTGGGTGACAAGAGTGAGACTCTGTCTAAAAAAAAAAAAAAAGAAAAGAAAAAAAAAGAAAAGAAAAAGATTTTCTATAAATGGTTCTGGGCCAACCATCCACATAAAAAAAAGAAATAGATCCCTACCTCACATCACACACAAAAATTAATTCCAAGTAAATTTGAGACTTAAAGGTAACAAAAAAATTCTCTCTATATATTTGTTTATTCTTTAATTTTATTATTATTTTTTGAGACAGGGTCTCACTCTGTTGCCCAGGCTGGAGTGCAGCAGCACAAACAGGGCTCACTGCAGCCTCGACCTCCCAGGCTCAAGTGATCCTCCCACCTCAGCTACCTGAGTAGCAGAGACTACAGGTGTGTGCCACTATGCTTGGCTAATATATTTTTTTAATTTTTTGTAGAGATGAGGTCTCACTATACTGCCTAGGCTGGTCTCAAACTCCTGGCTTCAAGCAATCTTCCTGCCTTGGCCTCCCAAAGTGCTGGGATTACAGGCTTTAGCCACTGCACCTGGCCAAAATTCTACAATATTAAGAAGAAAATGTAGCATAATATTTTTCTGGCCTTGGAGTAATAAGGAATTTCATTTTTTTTTTTTTTAAACGGAGTCTCACTCTATCACCAGTCTGGAGTGCAGTGGCACGATCTTGGCTCACTGCATCCTCCACCTCCCTGGTTCAAGTGATTCTCCTGCCTCAGCCTCATGAGTAGCTAGGACTACAGGTATGCATCACCACGCCCAGCTAATTTTTTTGTATTTTTAGTAGAGACGAGGTTTCACCATGTTGGCCAGGATGGTCTCGATCCCGTGACCTCGTAATCCACCCGCCTCAGCCTCCCAAAGTACTGGGATTACAGGCGTGAGCCACCACACCCAGCCCAGGAATTTCTTAAACAGGACAAAAATAGTCAGGCGTGGTAGATGGTGGCTGTAAGCCCAGCACTTTGGGAGGCTGATGCGGGAGGATCACTTGAGGCCAGGAGTTTGAGACCAGCCTGGGCAACATAGTGAGACTCTGTCTCTACAAAACAACAACAACAACAAAAATTAGCTGGGCATATGGCACACACCTGTAGTCCTAGTTACTTGGGAGGCTGAGGGAGGAGGGTTGCCTGAGCCCAGGAGGTTGAGGCTACAGTGAGCCATGATCACACTACTGCATTCCAGCTTGGGTGACAGAGCAAGACTGTTACTAAAAACAAAGACATAAAAATGAAGGACAGATAAATTCAATCATATTAAAATTACAAATTTCTTTAATCAAAAAGCAACATTAAAAAAACAAAGGCTGGACGCGGTGGCTCATGCCTGTAATCCCAGCATTTTGGGAGGCTGAGGCGGATGGATCACCTGAGGTCAGGCGTTCAAGACTGGCCTGGCCAACATGGCAAAACCCATCTCTACTAAATATACAAAAATTAGCCGGGCGTGGTAGCACACGCCTGTAATCCCAGCTACTCAGGAGGCTGAGAAAGGATAAGTGCTTGAACCCGGGAGGCAGAGGTGCAGTGAGCTGAGATCACACCATTGCACTCCAGCCTCGGCAACATGAGTGAAACTCCATCTCAAAAAAAAAAAAAAAAAAGGTGCAAGGATTTCTTGAGCCCAGGAGCCTGGGCAACACAGAAAGACCCTCATCTCACCAAAAAAAAAAAAAAAGTAAAAAGATACATACTAAAAGATAATCTGTAACCTACGTATAATCAACAAGATTAGTATGTAGATGATGCAAAGAACTCTTATAAATAAAAAATACTAGCAGACTTATTTTTTTCTTTATTTTTTGAGAGAGTCACGCTCTGTAACTGAGGCTGGAGTGCAGTGGCATAATCTTGGCTCACTGCAACCTCCGCCTCCCAGGTTCAGCGCCCCTGAGGAGCTGGGACTACAGGCATGCGCCACTATGCCTGGTTAATTTTTGTACTTCTAGTAGAGACAGGGTTCTGCCATGCTGGCCAGGCTGGTCTTGAATTACTGGCCTCAACTGATCCATCCGCCTCAGCCTCCCAAAGTGCTGGGATTACAGGTGTACACCCTGCCCAGCCACAAGCCGATTTTTAAAAGGTCAAATGCTATGACAGCCATTTTACAGGAAAAAAAAAAATTGTATAGTTGTGGTGACGCTCCTCACACAGAGCACCAGCTTCAGGGAGTCTGTCCCTTGCAGACCCCTGACCCGGCAACGGATGAATGAGGTACACTGACACACAGATACTCTGCTTTGCCAGTCCAGCTGAGTGTGTCCAGGCTGTTTACAGACTCCCTGAAGAGTACTGTAAACAGTTGCAATGGCGGCCCTGACCAGCTAGTGAGACTCGCATTTATTCAGTAAAGATTAATTGACAAAGACTTGAGTCAACACCACTACGGGGTAACTGACATTGTGGACTTCCTGAGTAGAAAGCAGTTAAGCACCTGCGGTACATCAAAGATTAGTCTTAAGACCATATGAGTAAACAAGCTACCTAGATAACTTCCCCACATTCCTTTGTTATTACTCTAATTTATTTAACTAAAGGTAAAGATCAGGTCGCCTTCAACCATATCTATTACTGAAGTTATGCAAACTCTTAGGCCTTCCAAGAGGGTTTGTGGCTATCATCACTAATATTTTTTCCCACCAGCCTGACTGAACCCCTACATATAGTTACTAAACATTTGAAATGATGCTCAATGTTATTAGTAATCAGAAAATTACAAATAAAACCCACTGAAATACAGGTTGAGTATCCCTAATCCAATAATCTGAAATCCAAAATGCTCCAAAATCCGGAAGTTTTTGAGTATCAACATGATGCTCAAAGGTAATGCTCTTTGGAGCATTTCAGATTTCAGATTTTCAGACTACAGATGCTAACCAGTAAAAATAATGCAAGGAATCCAAAATCCGAAAAAAATCAAAATCTGAAACATTTCTGATCCCGAGCATCTTTAGCAGCATCCTTGGTCTCTAAAAAAAAAAAGAAAAAAAATGGCAAAGACCTGATAATACCACATGTTGGAGAAAATGTGGCTCAGTAGGAATTCTTACATATTGCTGGTGAGAAGGAACTACTTAGGAAAACAATTTATCATTGTCTCATAAAGACTAATACTGCATATCTTATTAGCAGCAAGACTACTGTCCTAGGTTTATACCCAAGAGAAACTTTTGATGAAGATAATCAATATCTATGTGTGCTAAAAGACATGATTATTCATAAAACAATGCTCACAGAAGCAAGAAACTGGAAACAATCCATTTATAGAATATGTTTAATCACACAAGTCATATATGGCAGTGAAAAGGAATGAGCTATAGCCATATGCAATAACATGACAATATTAGAAAAATTATGCATGAAAAAAATCCTGTGATTCTGGGGTTTTTTGTTTTGTTTTGCTGTTTGAGACAGGGTCTTGCTGTGTTGCCAAGGGTAGACTACAATGTCATGATCATGGCTCGCTGTAATCTCGAACTCCTGGATTTCAAAGTGGTCCTCTCGCCTTTGTCTCCCAAATAGCTAGAACTACAGGTGCATACCACCATGCCTGGCTTTTTTTTTTTTCTTTTTTGCCTTGCTGTTTTCTTGCCTTGTCTCATCAGTGTTTATATCATTAAAAAATAAAACAACCCAGTGCAGTGGCTGTTTTGTTTTTTAATGATATAAACACTCACAAACACACCACACAATCCAAGTAGCAGCAGCTTGGCAAAAGTCACCATCAAACTATGAAATCCTACTGAAACCATCCCTGTGCTTCTCGTGCACAGGTACTCGTTGATCTAAATGTTGCATTTATTGTGTTCTTGCTTTTTTCCCCCTTTTTTTGTGTGTGTTCTTGCTTTTAAAAGTAAAGCTATATATATGCCAAAACAAAAATTCGTTGTTTTCCAGTGTCATTAAAAACAGAATCTAGGCCGGGTGCAGTGACTCATGCCTATAATCCCAGCACTTTGGGAGGCTGAGGCGGGTGAATCACCTGAGGTCAGGAGTTTTAAGACCAGCTGGGCCAACATGGTGAAACCCCATCTCTACTAAAAATACAAAAATTAGCTGGACATGGTGGCACGTGCCTGCAGTCCCAGCTACTCAGAGGCTGAGGCAGGAGAATCACTTAACCTGGGAGGCGGACGTTGCAGTGAGCTGACATCGTATCGCTGCACTCCAGTGTGGGAGTCAGAGTGAGACTCCGTCTTTAAAAAAAAAAAAGAATCATAAGATTTTTCACTTGAGGGCAGTAATTCAAGACCAGCCCAGGCAACAGTTGTCTTTTGTAAAGACAACTGTCTTTACAAAATTAAAAAATTAGCTGGCACACACCTACAGTAAACTCATTTTTGGTAAAAGTGCCAAGAACATACACTGGGGAAAAGATAGTCTCTTGGTCAGGCACGGTAGCTCACGCCTGTAATCCCAGCACTTGGGAGGCCAAGGTGGGAGGATCACTTGAAGTCAGGAGTTCAAGACAAGCCTGGCTAACATGGTGAAATCCCGTCTCTACTAAAAACACAAAAACTAGCCCGGCGTGGTGGCAGGCATCAGTAATCCCAACTATTCAGGAGGCTGAGGCAGGAGAATCACTTGAACCAAGGAGGCAGAGGTTGCAGTGAGCCAATACTGCACCACTGCACTCCAGCCTAGGTGACAGAGCAAGACTCCGTCTGAAAAAAAAAAAAAGAGAGATAGTCTCTTCAATAATGGTGCTGGGAAAACTGGCTATCCATTACACAGAAGAATGAAACTATACCCCTATCTCTCGCCACATATGAAAACCAAATCAAATGGATTAAAGACTTAAATCTAAGACCAAATTATGAAACTACTACAAGAAAACACTGGGGAAAATCTCCAAGACACGGGTCTGGGCAAAAATTTCTTGAGCCATACCCCACAAGCACAGGCAACCAAAGCAAAAATGGCCAAATGGGATCACGTCAAGTTACAAAGCTTCTGCACAGCTGGGCACGGTGGCTCACGCCTGTAATCCCAGCACTTTGGGAGACAGAGCTGGGCAGATCACCTGAGGTCAGGAGTTTGAGACCAGCCTGACCAACATGGTGAAACCCCATCTCTACTAAAAATACAAAATTAGCCAGGCATGGTGGCACATGCCTGTAATCACAGCTACTCAGGAGGCTGAGGCAGGAAAATTGCTTGAACCTGGGAGGCGGAGGTTGCGGTGAGCTGAGATCGCACCATCGCACTCCAGCCTGGACAACAAGAACAAAACTCCATCTCAAAAAAAAAAAAAAAAAAAAAAAAAAAGCTTCTGCACAGCTAAAGAAACAATAAAGTGAAGAGACAAAGAATATTTGCACATCCCATCTGCCAAGGGATTAATAACCAGAATATATAAGGGGCTCAAACAACTCTACATGACAGTCTAATAATCCCATTAAAAAATGGGCAAAAGATTTGAATAGATATTTTTCAAAAGAATACAAATGGCAAACAGACATATATGAAAAGGGGCTCACCATCACTATTATCAGAGAAATACAAATCAAAACTACAATGAGATCTCATCTCACTCCAGTCAGAATGGCTTTTATCCAAAAGACAGGCAATAGCAATGCTGGCAAGGATGTGGAGAAAAGGGAACCCTTATACACTGTTGGTGGGAATGTAGATTAGTACAAACACTTTGGAGAACAGTTTGAAGGTTGCTCAAAAAACTAAAAGTAGAGCTACCATATGATTCAGCAATCCCACTGCTGGGTATATACCCAAAAGAAAGGAAATCAGTACATTGAAGAGATATTTGCACTCCCATGTTTGTTGCAGTATTGTTCACAATAGCTAAGATTTGGAAGCAACCTAAGTGTCCATCAACAGATGAATGGGTAAAGAAAATGTGGGATATATACACAATGGAGTACTACTCAGCCATAAAAAAGAATGAGACTCAGTCATTTGCAACAACATGCATAGAATTGGAAATTATTATATTAAGTGAAATAAGCCAGGCACAGAAAGACAAACGTCATGTGTTCTCACTGATTCGTGGAATCTAAAAATCAAAACAATTGAACTCATGTACTCATGTACGAAGAGAGTAGAAGGATGGCTACCAGAGGCTGGGAAGGCTAGTGGAAGGCTGGGGAGAAGGTGGGGATGATTAATGGGTACAAACAAAAATAGGAAGAATAAATAAGACCTACTATTTGACAGCACAACAGGGTGACTATAGTCAATTATAACTTAATTGTACATTTTAAAATAACTTAGTGTAATCGGATTGTTTATAACACAAAGGATAAATGCTTGAGAGGATAGATAAAGAAAAAAATAAAATTCATTCTAAAAATAAAAAATTAGCTAGGCATGGTGGCTCGCACCTGTGGTCCCAGCTACCCAGGGGGCTAAGGTAGAAGGATCACTTAAGCCCAGGCTGTTGAGGCTGCAGTGAGCCATGTTCATGCCACTGCACTCCAGCCTGGGTGACAGAGTGACACTTTGCCTCAAAAAAAAAAAAAAAAAAAAACCAAAGACAAAATAAAATAAAATAGACCAATAATGACAGTATGTTGTGAATCAAGAGTTACAGTAATTCCGCATACCTGAGATCCATTATGCCACTCCCTACACACACACACACACACACACACACACACACACACACACACACACAGAGAGAGAGAGAGAGAGAGAGCTGAAAACAGCACAGAAGGCTGTCTCTTCCCTTTTCCCCACACCCCTACCTGTGTCCGAGCATTGAGCAGCTGCTGGAAGCTCTCAACCTCTTTGCTGTCATCTGCAGCCCGCTCCTAAGGGAAGACAAAGGGAAATGTCTAGTTTGGGGAAAGCAGTCCTTCACTTCAGGATGTCCCCTTCATTCCACACTTATTGTACTAAGCTGGACACTGTGCCAGACTCCAAGAGTAAAACACTGAACAAGACAGGCATCATCTCTGCCCTCACAGAGCTAACAGCAGTGGGGGAAACCGAATTTTCTGGGTAGGAAGGCAAGGAGAAGGAGCACCTATTACCATCAGCACACCCAGCATCATGTCATAGTTGTTGATCAGAAACACAAGCTGCTCCTTCCTTGAGGAGAACTCAGCTGCCACTCGGAGGACAAAATTCTCCACCTCCACCTGAAAAGGCAGAGAGGAAGAGGTGACACCAGAAAGCAAGGTCATCTGGGCCCCATCTGGCTCCTCCTCAGACTCCACCCACTGGAAGCAGCCCTGCTGCTGGGAAGTGTCTCCTGTCCGACCCTCACCTGCAGCTGTCCCAGCAATTGCATGGTCCGTTCATTAGGAATTGTCTGGTTGATACTGACAAGAGCGGAGGAGAACTCTGCATAGCGGCGTGTGATCTAGGAGAGAGTGGGAAGGAAAATCACACCCACCTCCTGGCCCAACCAACACAACCTCCCAACTTCCTTAGCCAACCCACCTCCATGTGATGTGACTCTACCTTCAGTCCCTCCTACCCACAGTGCACCACTCACCATGAGTTTCACCACCCTCCCAGAACACCTGCTCATAGCATGGCCCATGACACAACTGTGACCTTGGCCAACCCCCACAATGATGCTTAGAGCCCTGCCTTTCAAGAACCCTTTGTTACCCTTGCCCTCCCTCACATAGTGGGGCCGAGTATCCAACCCCCCTAGGCGCTGGGGGTCAGTGCTTCGGACGCTCTGAACATTCATCTCCAGGATCAGTTCAAACCGTGGCCATAGCAAGGCAAGCACCTGTTCCCAGTACCTGTGGGCTTAATCAGAATCAGAGGTCAGCCAGCAAGGAATGTTGGAGGGGGATGGGAGGGAGTGGGGCATCATTCAGTTTAATGGTCAATAGCTAGTTGTGGGGGTTGGGGGGCAGTGGTTGGAGAAAGGTGAGTCAAAAAGCAGCACTACTGCCTCCGGAGCAAATGAATGGGAATAAAGGTTGATGATACCAGGTCAGTAGGAGTCTAAGGTCAGGGCAGAGTCATGCAAGACCAAGAGAGTTTGTGGCCTGTTGGGCATCAAGGACCAGAATTCAGTGACCTGTCCAGGGCAGGAACATCCCTCTTTGCTGCAATGTTACGGAACCGGAGAACAATGTGGATACAGAGAAAAACAGCAATGGCATCGTAGCAGTCAGCTAGATAAGAATCCAGGTGTTTCTGTGTGATTGGGGAACAAACAGAGGATTAAAAGAGAATGTCAGTTTGTTGTCCTCAGTGACTATGAACAAACGCATTTGTTTCTTTGGGGATGATGCACTGGACAGGACAGAAGGGAGAGACGTAAAATGGAACTGCCCCCTGCTTTCCTGTCCAGGATCTATGTTTTTGGCTTTTTTTTTGTTTTTTGAGATAGAGTTTCACTCTTGCCACCCAAGCTGGAATGCAGTGGCACAATCTCGGCTCACTGCAACCTCCGCCTGCCTCCCAGGTTCAAGCAATTCTCCTGCCTCAGCCTCCTGAGTAGCTGGAATTATAGGCGCCTGCCACCACGCCCGACTAATTTTTGTATTTTAGTAGAGATGGGGTTTCATCATGTTGGTCAAGCTGGTCTCGAACTCCTGACCTCAGGCGATCCGCCCACCTCAGCCTCCTAAAGTGCTGGGATTACAGGTGTGAGCCACTGCACCCGGTGTTTTCGGCTTTAGAGACAGGTTGTTTTGTCACCTAGGCTGGATTGTAATGGTACAATCATAGTTCACTGCAGCCTCAAACATCTGGGCTCAAGTGATGTTCCCACCTCAGCCTGCCAAGCAACTGGGACCATGGGTGTGTACCACCATGCCTGGTTAAGTTTATTTTTAAATTTTTTGTAGAGACAAGGTCTTGCCGCATTGCCCAGGCTGGTCTCGAACTCCTGGCCTCAAGCAATCTTCCTGCCTTGGTCTCCCAAAGTACTGGGATTGCAGGCATAAGCCACTGCACCTGGCCACACCAGGATCTATGATCACAAGCCTATCACAGCAGAGTTCAGGGCTGAGCTTGGGTCAGGGGTTTGAGCACCAAGATTTGGGGGACCCTCAGTTTTCACGTGCTATTGCCTGATTGTGGGTCAGCAGTAGGGGTAGTCTCAGGGACCCTACGCACTGAGGATTTCATGGGGGAGTAACACTGACAAGTCTAAGTAACAAGTTTTTTTTTTGAGATGGAGTCTCGCTCTGTCACCCAGGCTGGAGTGCAATGGCGCAATCTTGGCTCACTGCAATCTCCTCCTCCCAGGTTCAAGCAATCCTCCTGCCTCAGCCTCCCGAGTAGCTGGGATTACAGGCCGCGCACACCTGGCTAATTTTTGTACTGTTAGTAGAGACAGGGTTTCATCATGTTGGTCAGGCTGGTCTCAAACTCCTGACCTTGTGATCCTCCCGCCTCAGCCTCCCAAAGTGCTGGGATTACAGGCGTAAGCCACTGCACCTGGCTATTTTTTTTTTTTTTTTTTTTGAGACAGGTCTCACTCTGGAGTGCATGGCTCACTGCAGCCTTGACCTCCTGGGCTCAAGCAATCCTTCCACCTCAGCATCTTTAGTAGCTGTGACCACAGGCACACATCAACACACACCCGGCTAATTTTTCATTTTTTGTAGAGATGAGGTTGTTGCCCAGGCTGGTCTCAAACTCCTGAGCTCAGGCAATCCTACTGCCTTGGACTCCCAAAGTGCTGGGATTATGGGTGTGCACTACCACGCCCAGCCAAGGCTTAGACATTTTAGAATGAGGCGATCCTGATTTCAGTTCTACCAGAGTCATGACCCCACTATGCTGCTGATGAAGACTGGGGACAAAGGTGTTGAATGGTACAGGAAACAGGAGTCTTACCAGGGTCATGCTGAGTGTACGGCCCATGACAGCATGGAACAGGTCGTGTGCAGCTGGGCCAGACACAACAAAAAATTCACAGATGAAAAGGTATTCGCGGCAGGAATTGTCTAGGAGGGCGTAGTGCTGGCTGCGGAAGAGGGCCTCAAATGGATACTGGGAGAGGAGGAGTAAAGAAGAAAAACAGAAGGGATGGACCCCAACACTGACTTCCCATGGATATGGCTGGAAAATCAGTAAACCTGAGTAATAAGAGCTAGGCAGACCCTTCGCATCTATCTAGGTCCGGGCTGTCTAAGAGCAAGCTGAATGGGCACTGAAAAGGTGGGGGAACATAGGGGTACAAAAAGGGCCTACACCCACCTGCTGTTGCTACTCCTGCATCCACCTCAACACCTGCCTCTGACTGTCATTCCCCTCATCCAGTCTCTCCCCTCTGCATGCCCTTAAGTCAATGGTTCCCAGCTCTTTTCACATCACAGCAGGCTGGAGTGATTGGAGAAGGCCACTCCCAAGTCTAAGGGGATTAAGACAGGGCCTGCAGGTTGGGAAGCTCTGCCCTGAGGTCTGGCCTTCCCTCCCCACCGTGCTCAGAGCCTCTTTCGTGACTGAAGCTTGTTCCTCCTCATACCCTCTGCTCTCCGCGCTGCGCTGTGTGAGGCACCAGGATGGGGGCCTCAAGTTCAGTGGGGGAGATGACAGAGCCGCGGGTTCCTAGGGTGAAAATGGTGTTCCTGCTGCGGAGCGATGGCTTTGAGAAGAATCGTAAGATGGGTCAGAGTCAGGGAAAACAATGAGACCATAACTGGGCCCAAAGACTCACTATCTGTGGGGACCCCAGACAGGCAGACGTGGCCTAGCCAGCCCTCTTTCCCAGTACTAGGGCCCCACGTGCTGACATCTGTGAATGGGCTTCAGGGTGTCTCTCCCTCCCTTGCAATCATATGCAAAACTATGTGTCAAAATAATGTGTGCATCTTTCTGGGGAGGGAGGCTATAGCTTTCATCACATTCTAAAAGGTTTCAGTCCCATAGGAAAAGGTAAGGAGCAGTGCATTGGTGGCTGGAGTCGAAAGTCCTCCCACTCTCAAGGCCTGGCATGAGGGTTCCCCAGTACTAGGATATCTTTCTTTGCTGTATCTTCCACACCCATTAGATCATCTTTCTCAGCGACTTCCTCATACTAAGGAAAGAGAAAAGAGAACTGATAACCGTCTCTTCCCACAACACAATAAAATATTCCTTGCCCAGGGATGTCCCCTCCTCCCAGTCCATGTGCCCAGGAATACCTCTCCCTCCTGACCTTACCTGCACCTTCATGAGCCGCCCCAGGTAAGAGCGGTAGTAAGACAGGTAAATCTTGCTCAGCGTCTCCACATATTCATCCCTGATCTCCTTTGCTGTTGCTCGTTCATTGCCCAACAGAAACTGATAGAAGAACCTAGGGGGTCAGGAACATGTCAGTCTACCTGTCTCCCAAGAAACCAGATGCCCACACTAGGCCGCTCAAAAACTCAAAGGCCATCCCATGCACTTCCTTGGGGTTGTGACCTGTACTTCAGCAGGGCCGTCTGGGGGATCTGATAGTTGGTCATGGGTTTCCTGAAGGAATAAATCTTCTGGAGGATAAACTCTCGGATCTTCGTCACTGCCTAGATGTGGGGAACCAAACACAGGGCATGAAGCTGCAACCCTTTTGCTGTATGAGAGGAACTGGGGGAAGCAACAAATGGTAAACATAGGCAGAAGGGTGGTGAATATCTCTTTGGTATTTCTCAAGATTTTCAGGGAAACCCAGAGAGACAAGAATGGGGCTGCCCAGAAAAGGCAGGGTGAAGTCCCTGGAGACAGGCTACAGTGAGCTCTGCCAAGGAAATCCATAGTGAAGATCTTGGGAAGGCTGCTTCCAGTAGCCTCCAGGGTATCCATCCCTACTTCCCACCTTGACCCGGAGCCGATCGAGCACGCCTCTGACATCTGCGCAGGCTGCTGTGCCTCTAGCTTCCTGCTCTCTGACTGCGGCTGCCTTGGCATCCAGCTCCTGTAGCTGCTCCAAGAACCTGGGCTCTGTCACTGGAGCCTCCAGAATTGCCCTGGTTAGCAGGGAGGGGTGGGATGAGTTACAAGGGAGACCCAGACATCCCTAAACCAGACCCAGACCACACTCCTTACCTCCAGCCCCTGTCATCTCTACCACCTTGCATTGTACCATATAGTCAGGACACATGTACAAAGTTTTCTATTCCTGGACCTCCCCACTATACACCTGATCTTACATCATTCTTAATCTTAATCTTTGATGCCTAATGCATACCTAAAGAAATGGTGGTTAACCTGGCTACTAATTTCTAAAAAGCACTTAACCTGGAGCCAGGAGACCCATATGGTAAATAGGGTGGGTCACCCCAGCCCATCCACCTGCTATGGACATTATAACCCTTCAAACTGGTAACTCACGTGACCAGAGCAGAAGGCACCACCAGACCATCAACAAGCTCCCCAAGTTTCCCCCGAACTGCCTGGCGATTTCGAAGTCGAATGTTCATGGCTCCTGACTGTTCCTGCAGTGTCCGGATCTCAGAGCTGATGGAGCTGAGGTCACTCTGAAAAGCTCCCAACATCTGCTCCATTCGCTGTAGGGAGGGTAGATGTTGCCGGAGTGCTATAGGGTTTGTAGGGGATAAGTGGGCCACCAAAGACTCTTTGTGAAGTCTTCAGTATTTATCAGTCCTTGAGGGTGGCAGATGATGAGACACCCCAGATTATCAGGAAATAACATTAAATATGGCAGTAATAACAAAAAAGGCTCCTGAAGTCATCTTGAAAATGACCCTAACCTGTCCCCATCTTGAGGCTGATGACCTAAAAATGGCACCAGAGTCCATGATCTGGTTCAGAGTAGCTATTAGGGGTCACAGGTCATGATTACTAACCTCCAGGACAGCATCACAGGCTGTGATCTGGTTGTGTAGAGATGCTATATTCTCACTCTCTTGAATATCTGATCCACAAAAAGTCAAGGGGCCTCATGGTGAAGATGGGAGATCCTCAGATTTGTAGTACCTCTCCAATTTCTCTTTGAAGTGATAGAAACCTCAGAGATGTTGACCCCAGCTGGGACATCTGTACCACACGCCACAAAATCCCCATGTCAATAGCACCACCCCTTCCCTCTGCTGGAGGATACAATCCCGAATGGATTTCTGTTCAATCTGCTGTAGCTCCAGCTCAACTTGCTTTGAATAGTGACGGAGATCTACACCCTGGGAGAACATAAAGATGACAGGTCAGAAGGAAGTCTCAGTAAAGGGACACTGTAACAGAATCAGTGAAGGACTAAAGGGTCAGATACCAGGCTGATACAACAAAAGCAAGAGACTGTTGTTTTTCCTTTTGGGGTAGAATAGATAGAAGGGCAGATTAGTACAGGGGAAAGCCTCACCGTTTTAAGAGCTTCCTTTACTAACTCATCCTCCAGATTTGCCTGAATGTGAACTGGAAATAGAAGTTTATCATAAGGGTCCAGCTCCACAGCTCCCTCTCCCCACATTGAGTATCTGCACACCAATCCCTACCTTATTCCTTCCAGCCCCCATGCCTCTCAGATTACAGGTACTGCACCCACCCCATGCCATCGCTTACCATCCACTTCATCCAGGATGAATTCATCAGAAGTGATATCCAACTCCCCAAGTTGCAGTGGTTCCTGGAGCCCAGGACCACCCGCCTGGAAAGGGATAAGTTAATGGGAGTAGGGTACGGTGAAAGACAGAAAGAAAAAATATAATTGGATATCCCCAGTCCTTCAAGTGAGAAGGAGCTGCTTTTACTGGGAGCCACAGGTACTGCTTTGAAAAATTCTAAGAGTCTCACGTTGTACCCACTCTCCTATTTTGTGCTGATGGGTAAGGAATACGACAAGGAGTGAGACGATCCAGTGAGACAGTGGAGGTAGCCCAGCATGGTGGTGGGCTCCTTGTAGTCCCAACTACTTAGAAGCTGAGACGGGAAGATTGTTTGAGGAGATCAGGAGTTCAAGGTCAACCTGGGTAACACAGGGAAACCCGTCTCAAGAAAACAAAAAAAGGTAAAAGACAAGACAGTGCAGTGGAGGCCGGACGCAGTGGCTCACGCCTGTAATCCCAGCACTTTGGGAGGCCGAGGTGGGAAGATCACGAGGTCAGGAGATCGAGACCATCCTGGCTAACACAGTGAAACCCCGTCTCTACTAAAAAATACAAAAAATTAGCCGGGCGCGGTGGCGGGCGCCTGTAGTCCCAGCTACTTGGGAGGTTGAGGCAGGAGAATGGCGTGAACCCGGAAGGTGGAGCTTGCAGTGAGCCAAGATCGCGCCACTGCACTCCAGCCTGGGCGACAGAGCAAGACTCCGTCTCAAAAAAAAAAAAAAAAAAAAAGTGCAGTGGAGATGACCGAATGAGGAAAGCTAGGAATTGCAGAGGATAGAGCAGAACTTGCACTTAAATTTAAGACCCTCAGACTCCTGCCATCTTGGGTGTTCTATCACACCTCTGGGGAACCCCAGGCTTTCTAGAAATGTCAAAACACATAGTGTTTACCTGCATGCCAGGTGCAATCTTACACATATTCATCTAATCCTAACGACGATGTATACAATAGGTTCTATCTTCCTCACCTTAAAGGTGTGAGAAATGATGGCACAGAGAAGCTGGTTAACTTGCCCAAGGGCACACAGCGTGTAAGTGGCAGAGATAGAACTCAGGCAGTCTGGCTTCAGAGGCCATGTTCTTAACCTTTACACTATACTACTTCGTGACTCTACCCCAAAATGTGGAGTGAAGTTGAAATTTTGTGCCCCAGAACATGAGTTTCAGCCACTAGGGTCCCGCTCAGGGTCGGGTCTGATCACAGGGAAGGGTACGGGGAGCCAAACAGGTAATATCACGGGTAGCAGCCAAGTTCCCACCCTTGTGCCTAAACCCAGCTCAGGTCTTTCTGAAGCTAGGAGCACCGGAACTACGGAGGAGAAACAGCTCCGCGCTCTCACCAGCGGGCCCTCTTCCTCCTCCATATCTGAGGTCCCAGCCCGCAACACCAGTTCCCGGGCCGCAGCCGCCATGGTCGCAGCGGCGGCCATTCCCCGCAGCCTCACTTCCGGCAACTGTCAGTCCCGGCGAGTCCGTTCCCCGGAGTGGAGCTACAAGTCCCAAAGGGTCTTCCTCAGCGCGAAATCGTTCCCAGATATTTGAGTTAAGTTGTTTGACTCCAGCTGTCCCCTTTCAGCTCTAACCACTTCACCCAACTGCAAATGGAAATATGGAAGTCTGAAACACAAACTAGCCCCGGAACCTTCGCTGTTCTCTTACCTATGAACCTTACGAACTGTAAAGAAAGGCGCACCGGAAGTTGTGGTACCCAAGCCATACTCTCATAAATCCAGCCAGGTCGCGCTGAAACAGTTTCCGGAAGCACTTCTCCTAGATCGCACCGCCTCTTCCTCCTGGAAGCTATATAATGATATCGCGTCACTTCCGCTCTCTCTTCCACAGGAGGCCTACACGCCGCCGCTTGTGCTGCAGCCATGGTAAGACTGGAATCCGTGCCGTGATCCAGCGGCATCGCAGCTCGGGCAAGGAAAGCCGGCTGTCAGGGTTCTGGAAACGTCCTGCCCTGAGGGCCTGCGACTTTCTGTATGGAGCCTTGGATCGCGTCCCTGGAAAGGGACACCAAAGATTTCCAATTCCGGAGAGCGGGCCCGAGGAAGGGTCACTGCTCGGGCGCACGAAAGCTGTCTAAGGCTTGGGCGTATATGGGGAACTCTGGCTTTTGCCACGCACTTTTGGGAATGGGCAGGAGACCTGCTTCCTCTCTCCAGAGGTTGCATTTTCCCAAGCTTGAACGCTTCATGTGCCTACTCTGCAGGACTGAGGAGTTTGCTCTGTGGTGTGAAAACCTAAGGAATGGGGGGCGGGTGTCTTGCCACTTGTGTGACAGGCTTAACCTTTTTGTATGAAGTTCGTTTGCCTTATCGGCCTTACTGTTTGATAGTTTACTGTGTCTGATTTCTTCCCCCGTACTTTTTCAACTAGTCTCTAGTGATCCCTGAAAAGTTCCAGCATATTTTGCGAGTACTCAACACCAACATCGATGGGCGGCGGAAAATAGCCTTTGCCATCACTGCCATTAAGGTAAGTGAAGTAGGGTAAGGAATAGGGAATGTAAATGAGAATTGGGTTGTGAAGACATAAGCAAAAATGAAGCAAGGCTGGGGAGACTTGAGTCTCATCCAGATCACCTTGACTGCTGGATTAAGAAAAGAAAGTGGTTTAGGGAGAGACTGACCCCTTTAGCATTTACCACAGAAAATAAGTGATTAAAGCCAAGATAGTGGTCTAAGGTCAAGCCAAAACATTTCACCTGGGGAAGTGGGGAGGAGGTATGGTTGCTCACCCGAATTCGCTAAGATTTTCCTGAACCACGAGCTTGTGAGATTTCTTCTAGATTCGGTTTCTTTACCCATCCCACCATCATAACAGCAACCCTTCCTGCGAAATTTATATTCCCTGAGAATTGGAGGATTATTGGGCATCTTGAGGGATAAGTAGAAATACCAACAGATAAAAAGTGTGAAGAAGCCTGTAGATGGAGGGTGGAAGAAGTCTGAGTGGGACATTTACTCAGATGAGCCATAATTGACACTCCTTTCCTGTCGAAGTGTGAAGGAGTACATCCATCTTTCTTTGGCTTTTAAGAATCGAATAAATGAATGCAAGAATATTATTTCACTTGAGTATTTCTCTCCACAAACCTAATGAATTCCTGGCTTTGTAGATACATAACGTTCTTTTTTTTTTCCTTAAGTCAGAATGTGTAGTTAGTTGTGGAAATAGCCTACCAGTATGTGTCCATGCGTGCAGGGCTAGGCCTGTCTTCTTGGCTTCTGTTGCATGGTAGGTACTTAGGCGACGTTAGGGAATGGATAGTAGTAGGGATACTGTTGGCTCTGTTGAGGAATTTGTAGAGGGAAATTCCTTCTGTTGGGTGCTCTGTGAAACTAATAAGGCAGTGTGAAATACTGTACTTATTTCAGAGACCGGCTGTGAGGCTTAAGTAGAGGTGCAGCATTCATAAGTGTAATAGAGAATAACCTTCATGGATGTATCTAACTAAAAATTAGAAATCTTATTTCATCTATATCTCTTCCCACACCCATTTTGAAGTAAATCTTTTCACTTGTAAACATATAATTAAATTTGAGGCTTAGTGCAGTGGCTCACTCGGAGGCTGAAGTGGGCGGATCCCCTGAGGTCAGGAGTTCGAGACCAGCCTGGTCAACATGGTGAAACCTCGTCATTTAATTAATAAATAAATTTGAAAGACCCTGCTCTCTTCTGAATCAACCTAATAATTTGACCCTTGGTCATGTTTATTTATTTATCCCGAGACAGAGTCTCACCCCGTCACCCAGGCCGGAGTGCAATGGTGCAATCTTATCTCACTGCAACCTCAGCCTCCCAAGTAGCTGAGATTACAGGCACACGCCCAGCTAATTTTTGTATTTTTAGAAGAGATGGGGTTTCACCATGTTGGTCAAACTGGTCTTAAACTTCTGACCTCAGGTGATCCACCCACCTCAGCCTCCCAAAGTGCTGGGATTATAGGCGTGAGCCACTGCACCCAGCCACATTTATTTTTTGAGACTGTCGCCCAGGCTGGAGTGGCGGAATCACTCTTCACTGCAGCCTCGACCTCCAGGGCTCAAGTCAATCCTCCTACCTCAACTTTCCAAGTAGTTGGGGCTACAGGTGTGCACCACCACATCTGGCTAATCTGGATCTTGCTGTGTTGTCCAGGCTGGTCTTGAACTCCTGGGCTCAGTGATCCTCCAGCCTCAGCCTCCTAAAGTGCTGGGATTACAGGCATATAGGCATGAGCCACGGTGAAGCCAACCCTTGATCTCTTTCTTGCAGATAGGAACTGCCATTTGTTTTAGTTTCCTGGAGCCTACTGTAACAAGTTCATATAAACTAAGCAGAAAATTACTCTTGGCGCTGGAGGCACTTAAGAATCCTACCTTGCCTCTTCCTGTCTTCTGGTGGTTGTCAGTAATCCTTAGTGTTCCTTGGCTTGTAGCTGCATTACTCCAATCTGTTGCTGTCATCTCATGGTCCTCTTCGTGTCTCTCTCATGATTTGTCATTGGATCTAGAGCCCACCCTAATCAAATATAACGTCATTTTACCTAATTATTTCCGTAACGACCTTATTTCCAAATAGGGCCACATTCTGATGTTCTAGTTGGACAAAATGAGGGGCAGGGCTCAGTATTCAGTTCCTCCTTCACTCTCCAAATCACTTTGGTTCATGAGTTCAGATGGCATGGGTGCTAGTGCTGGTGTTGATGTGATGCTACCAATGTAAGCATTAGTTTCTTTTTATAATAACTTGGGCAGTCAGTTCTGGGCACTGACAAAATTGAGTTTGTGATCTTGGAATACTTTGATTATGGGGATACAGTGATTTGCCTAAATAATTGTGACCCTTAGAGATTCTGAGGAACTGACAGCCCAATACCTTAATCAAAGCCTGTAACTCATAAGACCCTGGTTTACTGCATCAGCTTGGAGTGGCAGGCCCCTTGTTCTCCTAAATGCAAGAATCAGAAGGCACTTAGTGACAACTACATATGCTGAGCAATGGGGGAAAAAAAAGATACTGCCTGCTTTCAAAGGGTTGTCTGTAATACTAAATTCTGTGTTCATGATTCAGTCATACCCCTGAACAAAGTTACTTTTTTCTTTTTTTGAGACGGGGTCTCACTGTCGCCCAGGTTAGAGTGTGGTTGCGTGATCTTGGCTTGCTGCAACCTCCACCTCCTAGGTTCAAGCTATTCTGCTGCAGCCTCCCAAGTAGCTGGGATTACAGGCACCTGCCACCATGCTCAGCAACTTTTCTTGTATTTTTAGTAGAGACAGGGTTTCACCATGTTGGCC